>NC_000007.14:119779506-120082536 GCF_000001405.40 Homo sapiens
ACATAAAGATGTCCTTCTAGGTGACTGTGGTAAAAAGACTAAAAAGAATACCTTCACAATGCAGAAACCTGACAAAACTACCTCAGCCAGGAGATCAAGGTAAATATCAAGAGTGATATGTCAGGTTGATAGTTTGGACCACTGATATGATATTCGGGAAAATGGCATTTTACATCTATGCCTTTCCTCCCCAAATCCCATAACCCAAGTCAAATTATGAGAAAAACACCAGACAAACATTACGGAATAATATTCTACAAAATGTCTGACAAGTTATTCTCAAAATTGTGAAGGTCATCGAAAACAAGAAAAGTCCGAGAAATCGTCAAAATTAAGGTAGGCAAATGTGACATGACAACTAAATACAATGCAGTATCCTGAATGGGCTTATGCATGAAACATAAAAAGAAAATACGAATAAAGCACGGCATTTACATAATGATAGCAATAATAATATAAAAATCAATATCATTTCAGTAATTGCAATGAGTGTACCATGCTTACATAAGAGTTTAATAATAGGGAGAACTTGCAGCAGGGTATGTGGAAATTGGAAACTCTGTATTATGATATCCTCACAGTTTTCTGCAAATCTAAAATTGTTCTAAAATAGTTTATTAAAAGTAAAAGAGAATAAATAGTGACGAAGTGTGTGATAGAATTTATTTAGATGGTCTTTGGAGAAAGATGATAACTAAATTCAATGTCTCATCCTAGGGTTGGTGGCTTTTTAGGCACTTTGCAGTGGTGACACAGCAATGAATTAAGTCGCAGTAGCAGGTAGAGAGGTCATCTGTTGGCCTCTTTTAAAACCCAAAAAATGGGCGTGGTGGCAAGTGCCTGTAATCTAAACTACTAGCGAAGCTGATACATGAGAATCTGTTGAATCTGGGAGGCAGAGGTAGCATTCAGCCAAGATTGCCCACTGCACGCCAGCCTGGGTGATGGAGCGAGACTTTGTGTTTTCTTCCTCTTTTTTAAAAAAACACACAAAACTATATGTCACTTAAGAGCCTAATATGTGTGGGTACCACATACTATGCAAAAGAGAAATAGTTATATTCTCTTTATTTTTTGGCTTATATTTTTATTTTCATAGTTAAAATATAGTACATGTACAATGATAAGTTGTAATAGAAAACAGACACTAGAAACATTAAGCTCAAGTAATACAGTACCCATGCTATGCCCTTCTCATGACACACATACTAAGTTTAATCGGAACATCATTATTTATATTCATTCAGATACATTTCAGAGATGATTTTCTGCATAAGTCTTCACTTTTTTACAGCTTTTATCATACAAATTACATTTGTATATTTGGTTGTTTTCCTTCTGCTCTGAAAAGTCCTTTTTTAGGTACAGTTGATAGAAACAATGTTGTCTGACAGAATGAAAAATTTAATGCTTAGCTTGAAATAAAAGGGAGCATTTAGTGTTGTGGATATGGAAAACAGAATTGGTGTGTATGGCATATTTTTGAGATAATTTATGACTCAAGAAGTTTTCTTTCTTTTTTTGTTTCATTTTTTATTGTCCCAAGTTTTATTAAGGAGAATTCACCATTTTATTTTCTGATATAACAACTTCAAGTATCCCATTAGCAGAGTGATTTTATTTTTATTTAATGTAGAGGAAAAGAATTAGTTCTTCTGGCATTTGTCACAAGGAACCTTTCTACTTCAGTTTCTATTAGTAAATTCTGATTTTGCCTCAAGGCTTGACAAAATCCAGAATTTGTACTGAGTTTATTCACATGTAGGGAAGGGAATTGGAAAGTAAATTTGATCTGCTGAGACTTAGATAGGCTTATTATCTTTAACACGTTATGTAGTCAAATATTGACTAAGTAAAACTTTCTGAGGAGAAAAAGAACTTGTATTCTTAAGTTTCATTGCCAAAGTACTTCTAAGTTACTATACATTTTAAAATAAAATATTGGAAAATATATTACTGTTAATGAGAGATAAAGAAGTAAAATATGTTAATGGGTGTTTTGATACCTAAGTAGAATACACAATAAATACCTTACAATATTTAAATTGCACATATCTGAAAATCAACTTTAAATATTCAAATGAAACTTTAAATATGTCAATAAAATGTACTACTTACTGTGTAATATCAATGAAAATGCTAAACATGAGAGTTTGAGGTTGAAGCATGCTCCAGACAAATTAAGATTTAAAAACATAAAATTGGCCAGAGGGCAGGAAACACCAATAATAAGAAACTAATTGAAGTATAAATAAAGAAACTGTAGTTGCACAGTTTTCATAAATAAGGCACAGGTTAAGTTGTTGGAGGCTCTATCCACTTTTGAAAGAACAAAGAGAAATCAAAAGTCACATAATCCAAGGGAACTAGAAAATATCAGAAAGATGAAGTCAAAGACCCAAAATATTATGACAGAATTAGAACCTGGAGTTATCGCAGGAAATGATTCCATGATTTGCACACATAGTGAATTTGGAATGCCAACGGGGCTGGTATGGAATGCATGGATAAAATAGAAGAAGTTAAGGTTAGAGATGGTGTAGCCGTGAGTCAATAATGAGATCCTTTATAAAATTCTTTGTGTTTTATTTTGAGAAACAAATTTTATCAACTGAAGTACAGCATTGATATGTAATTTCCTTTGTCTTTTGTCTTATACTTGCCAGTCAAACATCATTTTGCAAAGTTACTTGGTGTATTAGTCTGTTTTCACACTGCTATAAAGATACTACCAAAGACCATGTAATTTATAAACAAAGGATGTTTAATTGACTTACAGTTCTGCATGGCTGAGAAGGCATCAGGAAACTTACAATCATGGCAGAAGGGGAAGCAGGCACATATTACATGGCTGCAGGCAAGAGAGAGGGACGAGTGAAGGAAAAACTTCAAAAAACATAAAATCATCAAATCTCATGAGAACTGAGTCACTATCATGAGACCTGCATAGGGGAAACTGCCTCCAGATCCAATCACCTCCCTCCCTCAACACATGGGGATTACAGGTCCCCCCCTCAAAACGTGGGGATTAGAATTTGAGATGAGATTTGGGTGGGGACACAGAGCCAAACCATATCACTTGGGTGACTTTACACCATTTTTCTACACTCCTTTAATTAGGTTATATTATACACTTCTAACAGTTGGATTCTCTTGTTATAGTCTACCTTCTATGCCAGGATCCTCTGACACCTATTTTGACTTTTATTTTTTAATTGCACATACTAATGTTCACACTTTGTGCTGAAAATTTCTATGGATGCTGAAAATGCATTGAGTTATATTTACCACTCCAGTAACACAAAAAATTAGTTCTTCCATTCTAATAAAACCCCCTTCTCAAAATTCACACCTTCACAAATCCCTGGCAAACACTGATCTATTTTACATATCTATAGCTTGCCTTTCACATAATGCCATATAAATGAAATCATACAGTGTGCAGCATTTCTCTGGTTTCTTCCACTTAGCACTATTAATCTAAGATGCATTCATGTTCCTCCATGAATAAATAACTAACTTTTTATTATTGAATATTATTCCATTGTATATTTGTACCATAGTTTATACATTCACTCCAGGTTTGGCTTCTAAAAATGTTTACATACCTACTTTTGTGTAGGCAGAATTTGTTCAGTATGTTGGATAAATACATAGGAACAGGAATACCAAGTATTGTGGTAGGATTATTTCTGAATATATAATAAATTGACAAACTCTCTTTCAAAGTGGCTCTACCATTTTTGCATTCCCACCATCAATAAATGTGGATTTCTCTTATTCTGCATCGACTCCAGCAATGAACATCATCGTGTGATTTTCTACAGCCATTCCAATAAGTGGATAGAGGTATTAAATTGTGATTTCAACTTGCATTCCTCTAATGATAAATGATGACATGGCCATCTTTCCTATGTTTATATGTCATCTGTATAATTTTGGTGAATGGTTTGTTCATACTTCTTGCCTAATTTTAATTGGGGTTTTCATTTTCGTATTGTTAAGTTTTAGGGGTTTTACTAAATCTTCTAGATAAAAATTGTTTATTAGACATAAGAATTGTAAATATTTTCTTCAATATGTATAACTTTTATTTTTTCTTGCCTTATTTGCACTAGCTAGGACTTCCAGTACAATGTTGAAAAAGGGTAATGCCACAGGATATCTTTGCCTTCTTCTTAATATTTGTGGGTATACTCGTCAGTATTTTGGGTCAATTTGGCAAGATATCATCCCCAGATATTCCACCAAATACTAATCTGGGTGTTATTTGAAGTTATTGTGTAAGTATGATTAACAGCTACAATCTGCTGACTTTAAGCAACATAGAATATCCTTGATAATCTGGGTAGACCTTATCCAATCAGTTGAAAAACCTTCAGAGCAGAACTGAGGTTATGTGAAGGAAGAAAATATTCTGCCTGTAAAGTATACCGTCAGCTCCTGCCATAGTTTCCAGCCTGCCCTTCCTGAGAGCCTGTCCTTTCTGGCAGCCTGCCCAATGGATTGCAAACATGCCTCATCAGTCCCCACAATAGTATAAGCCAATGTGTATAACACTATCTATCTGTCTGGCTGTCTATTTATCTATGCAATATCCTAATAGTTATTTTTTTTCTGGTGGAATCCTGATTAATACAAAGGTATGGAATCCTCATTAAATATTATTGTGACAACAAGCTTTCAATTTATGCCATTTATTAAGCTATTTATGAAACATTTTAAGCTAGGTTTGACTTCAGGATTATTCATAATTTATTTGTATTTTTAATAATTTTATAATTGATTAAAAAAATCCCATTATAAGCATGTTGGACTTTACAGTCTCAATCTACTTTGTAGCCATGTATGAGATATCAAGTTCTAAATAAACATATTTCAATAGAAGTGCTAAATAATTAATGACTACATACCTTCCACCAAGAGGCCAGCCACCACATGGAAACAAAGAACGTTAATCTTTATCTGTGGTCTGAGCTAGTCTTCCCTGAAAAGTTGACTACTGCTTACAGGAGCCTTAACACAAGAGAAGGGTTTCCTTTATAGCAGGTTCCAAACAAGCCAGCAAACAAATAAAGCATTAAAAATTTTGAATAAAAAAATAACTGTAATGAATTTTGAGATACAATTTAAATCTCTGGCAAAGAATTTGTATTTTTAATTGAAATAGTACTGCTTTGCAAAATGTATTAACATCTGTTATGTACAGGCTATTCCTAGGTTATCTGAATATTTTCATTGAAAGCAAGCATAATTTGCAGTTTCTTCATTGTTGATTTTTAAAATTAATGATTATATATAATTGAATTAATATATGTATATAACTTCTTTATAATTAAGTTATTAAAATATTGGTATCAAGTATTTTAATTGATATGGCAGACATAAAACTACTACTAAAATTGGCTTTAAAAAATTGTAAATGGAAATATAAATGTCAAAAATACCAATTTTTTGAAAAAGTGAATAGTCATTACTCAAATAGGCAACAAGATTAGAGGTTCTATATCATCCATTTTATATCTATATTTTACTTGTGACTTTACTGGAATGTATTGTCCTTGTTATAATTTTGTCCTGAAATAATTTTGATTCACATATGCATATAGGTTCTCATATACCCTAAGTATTATACATATAAATTGTGTATTATTGACCCACAAATTAAATGAGGTCTCAGTCTCAAATATTTCAGAAGTACTAAGGTATGTCAGTTATCTGGGGGAAAAAGGCTCATACTTAAATGTCCATTTAAAATTTTTCAAAAGTGTTTCCTTCTCATTCTACAGTACAAAACATGAAAACCATAATTTTCATCTCTTGAAATAAACATTTTTAAGAAGATAGCATTTCAGGTTTGGACAATATATCTTGCATGTCATTTTGCATAAGATGTACTGGTTCCATAGCTTCAATTACATTAAAGGTAAAGCTATGGAACCAGTACATCTTATGCAAAATGACATGCAAGATATAACATATTGTCCAAACCTGAAATGCTATCTTTTTTTAATTAAATGATGCATGAGATTACATAGATTACAAAATGTATTCATCTCCACTTTAATATTGTTTATTTAGAATTCCTTTACTAAACCTTACGTTTAAATCTTCTCACAATTTGGACATATTTTTGTATCTTCCCAAATTAACTATCAACTAGTTATTGCACACACAAAACATATTCCTTGAGAATTTGTCCATGTATTTTTTTCTACTTTATACATCCAGCTTCTCAAATATACCCACTCCTGTTCCAACTCATACTCAAATTCTCTCCATATTACCAGACAGAAATCAAATAAAATCAAGTTGCATAAAGCATACTCCTGAGTAAAGGGAGAGCTCATTAAGTTCTTTTATCAAAACCAGTACTTTATAATTTTGTACTACACTTATGATGCACTTCCAACTTTTTATTATAACCATTTGTATAAAAAATTCTTATACTGTACAATTTTTCGGGCAGTTTCTCAAATTGCATGCTGTATTCTACTGCATGGGAATGGTGACACAAAATGAGTAAGAATTAAAGTACATATAGATATTGAGGCAAGATCGTTTGTGTAGTTAATGATAAAAATGACTATATCAAGCAGCTGTTGTATACAGAGTTATGGCCTAAAGGTTATTTACCTTTAGGCCTAAAGGCCTAAATATTTCTAGGGAACAAGGATTTCTATCACATGTGACACTTTTAACTCTTTTTGTCTTTCATTTTTATTGTATTTTATAATTTCAACTTTTACTTTAGATTCAGGGAATGCAAGTGTAGGTTTGTTAACTGGGTATATTGCAGGATGTTGAAGTATGGGGTACAATTGTTGCCATCTCCCAGATACTGAGCATAGTAATCAAGAGTCTTACAATCTTTGTCCCCCTCCATTCCTTCCCTCGCTATTAGTCCACAGTGTCTATTGTTGCCCTCTTTATGTCCATGAGTACCCAATGTTGTGCTCCCACTTTAAAGTGAAAACTTATGGTATTTGGTTTTCTGTTCCTGTGTTAGTTCACTTAGGATAATTACATCCAGGTGCATTCATGTTGCTGCAAAAGACATGATGTTGTTCTTTTTGTAGCTACATAATATTCCATAATGTATATGTACTACATTTTCTTTTTCCAATCTAGCATTGATGGGCACCTAGGTTGTTGATTCCATATATTTGCTATTGTGAACAGTGATCCTATCAACATACCTGTTCATGTATCTTTTTGATTGAATAATTTAATTTCTTTTGGATGTATATTCAGTAATTAGATTGCTGGACCAAATGGTAGTTCTGTTTTAAGTTCTTTGAGAAATTGCCAAACTGCTTTCCACAGTGGCTGAACTAATTTACATTCTCACCAACAATGTATAAGCATTCCCTTATCTCTACAGCCTCCCCAGCATCGGCTGTATTTTGACTTTTTAATAATAGCCATTCTGATGGTCTGAGATGGTATCTCATTGTGGTTTTGATTTGCATTTCTCTGATGATTAGTAATGTTGAGCATTTTTCAATGTCCACTGGCCACTTCTATTTCTTCTTTTGAGAATTGTCTTTTCATGTCTTTTGCCCATTTTTTAGTGGGGTTGTTCTTTGCTTGCTGATTTGTTTAAGTTTGTTATAGATTCTGAATATCAGACGTTTTTCAAACGCTTAGTTTGTGAATATTTTCTCCCATTCTGCAGGTTGTCTGTTTAATCTGTTGATAGTTACTTTTGCTGTGCAGAAGATTTGTTAGTTTAGTTATTTCCACTTGTCAATTTTTTTGTTGCAACTAATTTTTGAGAATTTAGTCATAAATTATTTCCCAAGGCTGGTGTCCAGAATATTGTTTCCTAGGTTTTCTTCAAGGATTCTTATAGTTTTGAGTTCTTACATTTAAATATATTTAATCCATCTTGAGTTAATTTTGGTCTATGATGAAAGGAAGGGGTCCAATTTTATTCTTCTGAGTATGACTAGCCAGTTTTCCCAGTGTCATTTATTGAATAGGGAGCAGCCCTTTCTTCATCGTCTCTTTTTGTTGACTTTGTTGAAGATCAGATGGCTGTAAGGTTGCAACATTATTTCTGGCTTCTCTATCCTGTCCCATTCGTCTATGTCTCTGTCAGTAGAATACCTTCAAACTGAATCCAGCAGCACATCAAAAGGAATAAGATCCTGTCATTTGTAACAACATAGATGAAACTGGAGTTGATTATGTTATATAAAATAATCCAGGAACAGAGACAAACTTTGGATGTTTTCATTTATTTGCAGGATCTAAAAATCAACACAACTGAACTTATCAAGATAAATACTAGAATAATGGTTACCAGAGGCTGAAAAGGGTAGTGAGGGATGGTGGAGGGGACACGGGAATGGTTAATGGGAACATAAAGTAGAACAAATGAATAAGATCTAGGACCTGTTAGCACAACAGGGTGACTATAGTGAATAGTAATGCAATTGTGCATTTTAAAATAACTAAAAGAGTATAATTGAATTGTTTGTAACACAAAGGGTAAAATGCTTGAGGAGGTGCATATCCAATGTAACCTGATGTGACCATTACACACTGCATGCCTGTATCAAAATATGTCTTGTACCCCATAAATACATATACCTACTATGTATCCACAAAATTTAAAAATTAAATATATTTATAAATACATATATGTACATATTTAACACCACTGAACTATACACTTAGAAATGGTTAAGGTGATACATTTTATGTTACATATTTTTTACTATAATAAAAACTCTATTACTGAAGCTTTCTCAAAACTTCCTAAAATTGTAATAAATTTAAATCGGTAAAAATGAAAAAAAACTGGCCATACTTCCCAAAATAATCTACAGATTCAGCGCTATCCCTAGCAAGCTACCAACAACATTTTTCATGGAACTAGAAAAATGTATTCACATAGAACCAAAAAAGAGCTTGGGACTAGCCAAAGCAATCCTAAGCGAAAAGAACAAAGCTGAAAGTATCATATAACCCGACTTCAAACTATACTATAAGGCTATGGTTATGGTAACCAACACTGCATTGTACTGGTTTATTTTTTAAAAGCAAAACAACAACAACAACAATAACAACAACTTTGAAATGTATAGCCCAGGACAACAACAACAACAACAACAACTTTGAAATGTGTTGCCCAGGTAATTAAAAACATATTAGATTTATTTATCTTTGCTGCTAATAATATTTATTCCAATATTTTGCCACCTTTAGAAACCCTTCAATTACTCAGAACTATTTTGTTATTTGCAGCCATGAATAAGAAGTTTCTCAGAAGATACATTTTTCATTTTCATCACAATTTTTAGGTGAAATAAACTCCCCTCTGCCCCATAAAACACCCTCTCTAGAACCAAAAACGAAATAATAGAATAACTTTTTATGATGCAAATTAGGTTTAGTTGAGATAAAATTGATACTTTGCTGTGGAACTCCTAGATAGTTTGAGCAAACAATTGTTTACACCAGTTTATAATGATACAGTAAAAGGGGTTATTTCTACTACAATTAAATAAACCATTCTTGGGTCTATCCTTCTCACAAACAAAAGTCTTTTTCTAGTATTACTTTTTCTCTGGAATGTTTCTATATTTTTGATATACATCAACCAAAACATCACTGCACACAGTATTCTAGTAGACTGGACACATGGGTTTATGAGAGTAATATGCAAGTTGTTTTGTTCATAATGCTCCTTGTAACAAATCCCACCATTTTGTTGGCCATTTTGGCTACAGCAGCTCATTGGAATGTGGTCCTTCAGAAGAGTCTGCCAAATCCACCTCTATTTCATCTTCTAGGTTTGTTACACATGGCTCAATGCCTATTATAATCTAAGTACAGCATACTTCTGACTATTGATTATAACAATGTTCCCTCTCTAAAAATACCTTAAATGTATTTCAATAATACTATAGTGGGTCTAGGTATTACGAGTATTTTTCTAAAATCAAATAAATGATATAACACTAAATCACTCCCTGTGATCTAAGTGCTTTTTGGGTTTGCGTCAAATTTATTTTCACTGGGATTTGGTTTAAGACCATAAGGTCTACTTTTTAGAGGAAATACAGGATCACCAGTAGCTATCAAAGACACAGATTTTCTCTTCAGGCCTCTGGCTATATCCCACATTAGTCAATATCAAGCAAAAAACTATGGCAAGATATTTTTTAAAAAGGAATTGAGTGCTTTATTGCTGAACAAGTATGTGATCGAGTTTTTAAATACAATATATACCAATATTGTTCTTACTGTCTACAATCTAAAATGACCTAAAATGTCTTTATAGTCCATCAATTACACCATTATTTATCATTTTCATTTATACATAAAAAATATTTCTTTTCTGATATGTGCTCTGAAATGAGCTATGAGCAAGGAATACAATTCCAAATAAGTAATTTCATTTGCCCTCTTGAATTTAAAGGTCTAATGGGAGAGATAGCACCATGAGTAAATAATTGCTAAAAGGTAATAAATGTTATCTTAGAAATTTGTACAAGAATTACAGAAGGTTAGCAAAGGGATCCACTAACTTCCATAACATAGGCCAAACAGAAAACATGAGAGAAGAAAAACAGTGTAGAACCTATTTTACACATGAGATATAGTGGGGTTTAGAAAAATAAGTTATGGATTCTCAAATATTTTAAATATAAGGAAAGTTATATTTGTATTTGCATTTATGTAAGTGTATGTGGGCACATGTACATATATGTGTGTGTATGGTGTATTTTTGTTATTTGAACCACTTACAAGCAAAATTTCAATACATATGAGATTATTGTTCTGTCAGTCTAATCCATGTACATTTCCCATTTTAGGTTCGGTAGCATCCTGTTAACTTTCACTTAAAAAATTAGTATAAGAATGTTGCTTAAACTTCTGGGGAACTCATCGAGACATCTTCTTAAAGTTGCAATCTAAGTCTACCTTGTGTTGATATAACAGAATACCATGATTGGGTAACTTATAAAGAAAAAAATATTCATTAGAGTTCTTGAAGCCAGGAAGTCCAAGGTCTTGGAGCTATCTAATAAAGTTCTTGTTGCTATGTCATCCCATGGCAGAAAGTGAAATAGCAAAAAAGTCCATCTGAGAGCAAGAGGGTAGAGGAGGGTGAGCTCACTTTTATCAGAAATTTATTTCTGCAAAAATGTCATTAATCCACTCATGAAGGTGGATCCCTCATGGCTTAATCACTTCTTAATACTGCCACAATGGAGATTACATTACCACATGGCTTTTGGAGGGGACATTCAAGCCATAGCATATTCTTAAAAAGTACATTCATTCTAATCATTTATGGGATCAAAAACTGTATATGTTGTGATCCATTTTCTTAAGAGAGTAAACCCAATGAAAAATTACATGTGATAAGCAGATAATGGCTTAATATGTTATTTCAACTTCCCAGTATTATTTTAATTCTAATAGTGCCTAAATGCTTTAAAGGAAGAAATAATTTGCAAATTCAATAATGTGGTCCATTTTGGCCTATATATACTCTCCAATCAGATTTTACAGTCAGCCATTTTTAAATCCTTTTTGTCTAGAACAAATAATAGCCCCATGGGGGAAGTAGTGAGATGGAGTAGAAAGAGTGCTTATCTTGGTTTAAATCCTGGCTCTGCTTCTTACTAGATGTATGCTATTGATCAATGTGGTTAAACATCAAATTATCTAGAACCCTTCTTTCTCTTTGGATATGGTATATGTTTAAAACATGAGAATTTAAGGAAGAAACAAACGAGTTTCATAGTGTCACCAGTAGTCTTTTCCTCTACACTCTTTTTCCGCATTCTAATTTTTTAAGTATTTCCTGATCATTAGCTTTCTTCAAGCTAAACCTATATTATGACATGCTTTGCGGACTACCTTTCTAACTCTCCTTCACTCTCATTATCTGATAGCTTTCTTTTTAAGTCTTTCCTGTATGTCTTCCTGCCTCACATGTATCTTTCCACAGTAATGTTTATTTTACTAATAGATAACACAAGGCAGATAAAGGTAACTGAATTTTGGATGTAAGCTATTTTTAACTGGGGTGAGATGATATCTCATTATTGTTTTGATTTTCATTTATCTGATGATCAATAATGTCAAACACCTTTTTACATGCCTGTTTGCTATTGTATGTCTTCAAGCAATGCCTATTCAAATATTTTGCCCATTTTTTGATCAGATTAATAGGCTTTTTCCTACGGAGTTGTTCGAGCTCCTTATGTATTCTGGTTATTAATCCCTTGACAGATGGGTAGCTTCCAAATATTTTCTCCCATTCTGTGGGTTGTCTCTTCACCTCGTTGCTTGTATCTTTTGCTGTGCTGAAGCTTTTTAACTGGATGTGATTCCATTTGTCCATTATTGTCTTGGTTGCCTGTGCTTGTGGGGTATTGCTCAAGAATGTTTGCCCAGATTAAAGTTCCGGAGATTTTCCAAAATAAGTTTTCTTTTAGTAGTTTCATAGTTTGAGGTCTTAGATTTAAGTCTTTAATCCAATTTTATTTTTGTATATGGTCTCATTTATTCTTCTGCATATGGATATACAGTTTTTTCAGCACCTTTTATTAAAGAGTCTGCTTTTTCCCCAATGTAAGTATTTGGCACTTTTCTCAAAAATGGTTTCACTGTAGGTGTGTGGATTTGTTTCTACGTCCTCTCTTCCGGTCTATTGGTCTGTTTTTATGCCCGTAACTTGCTGTTTGTTGTTACTATAGCACTGTAGTGTAATCTGAAGTCAAGAAATGTGATTCCTGAGTTTTGTTCCTTTTGTTTAAGATAGCTTTGGCTATTCTTGGTCTTTTGTGGTTACATATAAATTTTTGGATTGTTTTTTCTATTTCTCTGAAAAATGTTTCTGCTGTTTTGAAAGGGATTGTATTGAATCTGTAGATGTTTTGGGGGGTAGTATGAACATTTTAACATTTTAGTGATTCTTCCAATCCACGGTGTCTGCTTCAATTTCTTTTGTGATGTCCTCTTCAATTTATTTTATCAGTGTTTTACAGTTTTCATTTTACAGAAATTTCACTTTTTTGGTTAATTCCTAGGCATGTACCCTTGCTTTTCTGGTTTTTGAAGATGCACCATTAAATTTTTCATTTGAAGTTTTTCCTCTTTTTTGATATAGAAACTTATAGCTATAAAATTCCCTCTTAGTACTGCTTTTGCTGTATCCCATAGATTTTGGTATGTTGTGTTTTCATCATCAATTGTTTAAATAACTTTTTCAATTTTTTTCTTAATTTCTTGACTTACCCACTGGGCATTCAAGAGCATATGGTTTAGTTTCTGTGTGCTTGTAAACTTTCCAAAATTCCTCGTTATGAATTTCTAGTTTTATTTCATTGGGGTCAGAAAAGATGATTGATATTTTTCATTTTTTTGCATGTTTTCAGACTTGTTTTGTGACCTAACATATGGTCTATCATTGAGAATGATCCAAGTGCTGATGAAAAGAATGTGTATTCTGCAGCTCTTGGATAAAATGTCCTGTAAATATCTATTTGACCCATTTGGTTTATACTGTAGATAAAGTCTGATATTTCTATATTGATTTTCTTTCTGGAAAATCTGTCCAATGCTAAAAGTGGGGTTTGAAGTCTTCAGTTATTATTGTATTGGGGCCTATCTCTCTCTTTAGCTCTAATGATTTTTTTAATACATCTGGGTGCTCCAGTGTTAGGTGCACATGTATTTAAAATTGTTATATCCTCTAGTTGAATTGGCCCCTTTATCATTTTATAATGACCTTCTTTGTCTCTTCTTACAGTTTTTGTCTTGAAGCTTATTTTGTCAGATATAAGTATCATGACTTGTGCTCTGTTTTTGTTTCCATTGATGTGGAAAATCTTTTCCTATCCCTTTTTTACCAGTCCATATGTGTCTTCACAGGTGAAGTGTGTTTCCTGTAGGAAACAGATCAATGAGTCTTGTTTTTTCATTCATTCATCTAGTATATGTCTTTTAATTGGAGAATTTAGTCCATTTACATTCAATTACTATAGATAAGTAAGATCTTACTCTTCCCATTTTGTTATTTGTTTTCTGGTTCTTTTATGATCTTATGTTGCTTCTTTCTTTTCTTCCTGTCTTCCTTTAATGATGGTGATTTTCCCTGTTAACATGATTTAGTTTCTTGCTTTCTATATTTTATGTATCCATTGCATGTTTTTGGTTTGAGGTTACCATGAAGGTTATTATGATCTTATAACCCATTATATTAACCTGATAACAACTTAACTATTTGCATAAACAACAAACCAAACAAGGAAAAAGGAAACTAATAATAACTCTATGCTTAAATTTCAACCCCCTGCTTTTTAACTTTTTCTTGTTTCTATTTATATCTTATTGTGCTATGTCTTAAAAAGTTGCAATTATTATTTTTGACTGGTTCATCATTTAGTCTTTTTACTTAGGATAAGAGTTGTTTACACACCATAGTTACAATGTTATAATATTCTGGGTTTTTCTGTGTATAACTATTACCAGTTAATTTTGTACCTTCAAGTGATTATTTAGTGCTCATTAATGTCTTTTGCTTTCTGACTGAAGTATTCTCTTTAGCATTACTTGTAGGGAGACCTGACATTGGTTAAAAAAAAAAAATCTCTCAGCTTTTGTTTGTCTTGAAAAGTCTTTTAATTATCCTTCTAGTGTGAAGAGTATTTTCACCAGATATCCTATTCTAGAGTAATAGTTATTTTTCTTCCACACTTTAATTGTGCCATACCCCTCTCTCCTAGCCTATAAGATTCCATCTTAGAAGTCTGCTGATGTATTGGAGCATCATTGTCTGTTGTTTCTTTTCTCTTTCTGCTTTTAGGATCCTTTCTTTATCTTTGACCATCGGGAGTTTGACTATTAAATGCTTTGTGGCCGACTTCTTTGGGTTAAATCAGCTTGGTGTTCTATAACCTTCTTGTAATTGGATACTTATATTTTTCTCTAGGTTTGAGAACTTCTCTGTTATTATCCCTTTGAATAAACTTTCTACCCTTATCTCTTTCTCTACCTGCTTTTTAAGGCCAGTAACTCTTAGATTTGCTCTTTTGATGCTATTTTCTAGATCCTGTAGGTGTGCTTTATTGTTTTTTACTTTTTGTTCTTTGTCTCCTCTGACTGTGTATTTTCAAATAGTCTGTTTTCAAGCTCACTAATTATTTCAATTCCACTATTAAAAGACTCTGATGCAATCTTCAGGATACCTGTTACATTTTTCGGCTTCAGAATTTCTGCTTGATTCTGTTTAATTCTTCTAATCTCTGCTACATTTTTTTGATAGAATTCTAAATTCTTTCTTGGTGTTCTCCTAAATTTCTTGAAGTTTCCGGAAAACAGCCATTTTAAATTCTCTGTCTGAAATGTTGCATATCTCTGTTTCTCCGGGATTGGTTCCTTGTGCCTTATTTAGTTCATTTGGTGATATCATGTTTTCTTGGATGGTGTTGATGCTAGTAGATGTTCTGTGGTGTCTGGGCATTGAAGTGTTAGGTATTTATAGTAGTCTTTACTCTCTGAGCTTATTTATAGTCATTCTTCTTTAGCAGAGTTTCCAGATATTTGAAAGGACTTACATGTTGTTATCTAAGCTCTATCTGCTTTAAGGGGAACCCCAAGCCCAGTAAAACTGTGGTTCTTGTAGACTCATAGAAGGACCATCTTGATGGTCTTAGACACGATCTGGGAGAATTATCTGGATTACCAGGCAGAGACTGTGGTTCTTTCCTGTTTCTTTCTCCCAGACATACAGAGTCTCTCACTCTGTTCTTAGCCACCTAAAACTGCGGGTGGAGTGACATAAGCACCCTCAGGGCCACTCTTGATAATACTTTGCTGGGTCAGACCTGAAGCCAGCACAATTCTGTGTCTTGCCCAAGGCCCACTGTAACCCCTCCCTGGCTATTGCTTATGTTCACTCAAGGCCCTGTGGCTCTGCAATTAGGGAGCAAAGCCAGCCAGACCTGGGCCTTCCCTTCCGAACAGTATGGTCCCTAGACACTGGGTGGGCCTAGGGGTGCTGTCCGATAGTCAGGGACTAGGGTCAAAAACCTTAGAAGTCTACCTGATGTTCTATTGTATGCCAGCTGAGCTGGCACTCAAGTCACAAGACGCTGACCTTCCTAATCTTCCCTTCCCTTTTATTTTTTTTTATGTATCCGATATATTTTATTTTATTTTTATTATACTTTAAGTTTTAGGGTACATGTGCACAACATGCAGGTTAGTTACATATGTATACATGTGCCATGTTGGTGTGCTGCACCCATTAACTCGTCATTTAACATTAGGTATATCTCCTAATGCTATCCCTCCCCCTCCCCTATCCCACAACAGGCCCCGGTGTGTGATGTTCCCCTTCCTGTGTCCATGTGTTCTCATTGTTCAATTCCCACCTATGAGTGAGAACATGTGGTGTTTGGTTTTTTGTCCTTGCGACAGTTTGCTGAGAATGATGGTTTCCAGCTTCATCCATGTCCCTACAAAGGACATGAACTCATCATTTTTTATGGCTGCATAGTATTCCATGGTGTATTTGCCAAATGTTCTTGATCCAGTCTATCATTGTTGGACATTTGGGTTGGTTCCAAGTCTTTGCTATTGTGAATACTGCTGCAATAAACATACGTGTGCATGTGTCTTCATAGCAGCATGATTTGTAATCCTTTGGGTATATACCCAGTAATGGGATGGCTGGGTCAAATGGTATTTCTAGTTCTAGATCCCTGAGGAATCGCCACACTGACTTCCACAATGGATGAACTAGTTTACAGTCCCACCAACAGTGTAAAAGTGTTCTATTTCTCCACCTCCTCTCCAGTACCTGTTGTTTCCTGACTTTTAAATGATCGCCATTCTAACTGGTGTGAGATGGTATCTCATTGTGGTTTTGATTTGCATTTCTCTGATGGCCAGTGATGATGAGCATTTTTTCATGTGTCTGTTGGCTGCATAAATGTCTTCTTTTGAGAAGTGTCTGTTCATATCCTTTGCCCACTTTTTGATGGGGTTGTTTTTTTCTTGTAAATTTATTGGAGTTCATTGTAGATTCTGGATATTAGCCCTTTGTCAGATGAGCAGACTGCAAAAATTTTCTCCGATTCTGTAGGTTGCCTGTTCACTCTGATGGTAGTTTCTTTTGCTGTGCAGAAGCTCTTTAGTTTAATTAGATCCCATTTGTCAATTTTGGCTTTTGCTGCCATTGCTTTTGGTGTTTTAGACATGAAGTCCTTGCCCATGCCTATGTCCTGAATGGTATTGCCTAGGTTTTCTTCTAGGGTTTTTATGGTTTTAGGTCTAACATTTAAGTCTTTAATCCATCTTGAATTAATTTTTGTATAAGGTGTAAGGAAGGGATCCAGTTTCAGCTTTCTACATACGGCTAGCCAGTTTCCCCAGCACCATTTCACTTTGCAGCCACCACCACCCCAGTACAGAGAGTACTGCCAGATTACCACAGACGTTTCCTTAATGCCCAAGGTCCTTAAGTCAGCTGGTCATTGAATGCTGCCTGACCTGGGACTCACCCTGGGCAGTGGACTCCCCTCTAGCTCAGAACAGGTCCAGAACTGCCATTCAAGAGTCAAGTCCTAAAATTGGGGCCCCCTAAAGCCCACTTGGTTCTCTATCTCCCTGTGGCTATGTTGACACCTAAGGTGCAAGACTAAGTCCCCTTTAATTTTCCCTCTGTTTCTCTCAAGCAAAAGGAGTTTTGCCCCATAGTTACCACAGCTGGTAATGTACTGAGTCTCATCTGAAGCCAGCATGTCTCAGAAGCTTATCCAAGGTTCTCAATGTAGCACTTGAGTATTGCTGCTGGTTACTCAGGGCCCAAGGGCTCTTCTGCCAGCAGGTGATGAATGCTGCCAGGACTGAGTCCTTTCCTTCAAGACAATAGGTGACTTTCTGGCCCAGGTGTGTCTAGAAATGTTGTCTGGGAGCTAGGGCCTGAAGTGTGGGCCTCAAAGTTCTGACATGTTCCCTATTCTGCTGTGGTTGAGCTAGTATCGAAGATGCTAGACAAGGTCCTTCCCACTCTTCCCTCTCCTGTCCTCAAGCAGAAGGGTCTCTTTTGGAGCCTTGATCTATGTAAACTGGAGTTAGGGAAGGGGTGGTACCAGCACTCCCTTGGCTTCCCCAGCTGGTGTTTCAGTTATGTCACGCACCCCCTCAGTCCACTGTTTCTGGGCCTAGTTCAGCTCAAGGACTGACCTAGGAGTTGCAGTCTTTATGGACTAGACTGGTTTTCAAGTTTACTTGGAGACACAGAGTGCTGTAACTATCGGTGATGGGGTTTGCAGGCACTCAAGTTTGGAATACTGCGACCAGGGATTCCCCGCTGGCTAGGGCTGGATTCAGTGCTCCCCCAGTGGGCAGGTGTTAGCTGGGTTTGGTCTGGTTTTCCCTTCTGCTGTAACAGGACAGGATCTGCTCTAACAGGACAGGACAGGATTGAGTTCAATGCCTCACAATTGCTGTGTTATATTTCTCCTAGTATCCAGGGAAACTCTCCACACCACACCACTGCTGCTACCAAGGGTGAGGGAGGGGTGGCCTCAGAGATTTAGGACTGCTTTTTCCACCTCTTCAGTTCCTCTTTCGGTGATACGCAGTTAAAACCAGGTACTATGAGTGCTCACCTGATTTTTGGTTCTTATGAAGGTGGTTTTCTTTATTTTTATTTTTTTCTGTGTAGATACTTGTTAACTGGATGTTCTTGTGAAGGGCATGATAAATGGAGCTTTCTATTATCCCATCTTGCTCCACCTCTATCCCTACATCATTTTTTATAAGAGACTTGCTTATCCATGGATTTTGGTATCCACAGGGGTTCTGGAACCAATCCCCAGTATACAGGGGTGACTGTATGCAAATCATAGGAAATGACAAAGCCAATCAAAGATGATTTCTCTCCACTGAGAGAGGTGTGCTTGGTACTTTTTTCAAACATATTATGCTAGTTATTATTACCACATGTGCACAATCCTAATGACAAATACTTTAATATCATGGTTATCATAATAGCATTTTACTAAAAGCATGTGCATTATTAACTTGTACACAGATATACTTCCATTTTCATTCTTTCTAAGCGTTGGTGGTAAGTGAATCAGTTATTTTGAAAAAAAAAAAAAGTGTATGTCCATGTTTTGTTTCTTGTTTTGTTTTGTTTTGTTGCATGAACAGATGACCAAAGTAGACAACACGGGTTTGAACTTCAAGGGTCCAATTATGCATGAATTTTTTTCTAACCAAAGAGGGATTGAAAATATACTGTTCATGGGATGCAAACCCCACATAGGCAGAGGGGCAAATTTTCACTTAAGTGGCTCCATAGGGTCACCTGTGGGACTTGAGTGTGTGTGGAATTTAGTCTACACAGAGGTTCTGGAGTCAATTCCATGGGCATACTAAGGGATAGCTGTATTTAAAAGACTGAACTTCATAACTGAATTAAAGACACTGTCCAAAACACAGAAACATTATATAAAAACAAATACTTTTTTTTAAGAGTAGTTACAGTTTCTCCGATTTCACAAAACCTTAGTATAGAGGATTTTAAGTACATTTAGAAAAATTGTCCTGATTTTACTTCCAGAAGTTTTTTCTTTCTCATTTACAAATGAAGAAGCTAGCAAGCTAATAATTTACCTGCTATGATCTCCAAAGAAGTCACAATTTAAGGATGCACATTAAATAAAGTTATCTCAATTCTCCAACCTGAAGGGACCAAGTAAGGAAAAATATACAGGTACCATCTCATATGTGGTCTGCTGCTGGAGGAAGTAATGTAATATACGAATTTTGGTGACATCCAAGGAATATGTGGCCACACCTGACTTTCAAACTACATGTCATTTTGAGCATCACTGATCTCCTAATAAGCCCTTTATTACCATGCCACAAATTGGGATTAAAAGGCAGTCATAATCACAGAATATTAATGGAGTTATACCTCACCCCAATCATATTGCAAACCTCATTGTTTTATTAGGAAAATGACTAAACAACATAGGTCTATATGATGGAATGTAGTAGTTTTTCTAATTGGTAAAGTGTACTCTGCCAAGGATTTCTAATTCTGCCAATGAAGAATGATATCCTGGCACATGTGTTAAAAAATCAGAGTTGAAAAATCCTTAACCTTAATGTCCCAAAACTGTTTCTGTGATTTTTATATTAGAAACACGGATTTATTATTACAATAAAATGCCAATTACTAGAAAGTTTGCTTTCTGTATTTTTTTTAAAAAAGAACAAAAAAGAAAATTCAACTAATTACTCAAAGAGAAAGCAAAATAAGGAATTTCTATTATGTTACTACCTAAAATTATTTCAAATTTATTGTTTTTTTAAATAATGAATTCCAGTAGAATTTATACTTGTTTGAAGACAGGGCAATCAGTTCATCTTCCACCAAAGTACATGCTGATATCTTAAAACTTCAGGTTGGCTTTTTTCCAATATAACATACATCATGCTGTTAAACCAGTCACAGGGTAGGGCATTTATTTATGTCCAATTGATTTTTCACTTTAGAGTGGCCAGCTGAAATCTTATCTACATTTAAATATGAACATTTAAAGTCCTCTGACCTGTAAAATTTTAAATGATGTCAGATGAATACTGGGAAAAGTATTTTCCATATATGCTAGCACAGCATTTTGTTATTTTTTATTGTGTAGCTTAACATATTAAATTTCATTTATCTCCTTTTCCTATCCTTTAGACCAGGGGTGTCTAATCTTTTGGTTTCCCTGGGCCACATTGGAAGATGAAGAATTGTTGGGGACCACACATAAAATGCACTAACACCAACGACAGCTGATGTGCTTTAAAAAATCGCAAAAAATGCTCATACTGTTTTAAGAAGGTTTATGAATTTGTGTTGGGCAGCATTCAAAGCTGTCCCGAGCAACAGGCAGCCCGTGGGCCATGGGTTAGACAAGCTTGCTTTAGACTCTGTTGTTCAGGAGCAGGTAAAACCTTTTATTCATCATGTTATCCCTACTCCAGAGGTTGGCATAACTAGGTACTTAGTTTATGATTAAAGAGGAAACATTTTAAAAATTCTAAATTTTATTAAATTATTTTTCTCTCCAGTCACCCCTTACACTTGTAAAACACTCGCTACGTACTATAAAAATCACTTTGCCTCCTTTAAGTCCACAAAATACTCACATTTGGATTAAATCTATATAATATAAGGAGTTTTTAAGGTTCAATACTTATCTGCTTTTAACTTTATGCTTCATTGTGAAGATCAGTATCATTCTAAGTTCATCATATTCATCATACCTCTTTTTAATGACTTCTGTTACGTATTCCAAATGCTTCTGTTTTTCAGTCACATTTTGCTAAAAAAAAAAAAAAATTACCTTAGACATTAGTCACTATTTTACCAGTATTTCTCATTCAGGAAATGTCAAAGATACCAATGCAAAGTAGAAAGCATATTCACCAATAAAAATTTCACTTCTCTTACTTTCTCCACCCAATAACACCTTTTCTTCTACCTTTCCGAGATCACAGCTGCTACAACTAGATTCCATGCTACAGGGATTCTGAAAGAGGTCACTGATCCTCTTTCCACCTGGACTCCCAATCTTGTTGACTTAAATCTATATTACCTGATACCCCCATATTTTTCTTAGTAGTCTTGTTATTTATCTGCTCCCTTTTATTTGACTGATATTTTAATGCATGTAGGTCTTTCTTGACTGCTTTGCCTTTAGAATATTTCAGACTTTTTCTAAATAGAACTGCCTCATTGTCATCAATGTAAAATCTAGCACTTGAGGAGATATAAGCATGATATCATCTGTCTGAATATACGCTCAACATACCACAATAGTAAATCATAGAGACTAAGATTTTTTATTTTTTTGGTTGAAAGTAATACTATCACTATACTTGTCTATGTGAAACTTCTGTGTGGATTTTCAGTTTTCCACATCAGAGCTTTATATAGAATTTTCTTATTATAGAAGATAAAAGCCACGAGGATTCTTATATTTTTATCTTTTGAATGATTTTTATATAGTAAATCCTTCGTGACACTGAAGAGGATAAAAGTAGTACCATTTTGACTGAAGTGAGATAGACAGGGGTCCCTGAAGCCTACATTGCATTCTCATATTGGCCCTCCTTGTTTGTCCATTGGTCACTATCTTGTTTAGTTTGAATAAAACTAGTGTCTTTGGATATTTACATTTGAAGAAAACCGAGGTCCAGTGATACGCAAATAAGTTACAGAGCTGGAATTGAAAATGTTTCCTGATATGCAGTCTAACATACAATCTATGGATGTTCATGTAAACAGGTATTAATTTTTAAGTTAGTATCATTGGTCTGAATCTCCTTATGAGTATCATTCTTCCTTGTTCTGTCAAGTAACAACATTGTTACCATAATACTAGAAAAAGCAATCATTTAGTGTCAAGTTTGAATTGTCTACTGTAATATCATAAAAATATTATGCATCTAAACCATCAGATATAATTCTGATGAAATACATTAACTTACATTTGTTTAGTAATCCTCATTTAAAAACAAAACCAAACCTTTATGTTTATTACCTTTTCTCTCCTCACAATAATTCTGAGAGTCAGTTTCTATTACGCCTATTTTAAAGATTGTAGGAGGCAATCATAATTTCATACATTTTGTACGTTGCAATGTTTAGACTCAAATTCAGGAAAGAAGCAATCTCATTGCTCTCACCAGTATACGTATTATACCAAAGTCAATTCTCGTTTTCAGGTAAGTGCAAACATTCACTCATACACAGAGCAGTGGAATTTCCCAGAAGCTTTTCCTCCATCGCACTGAGTTCAGGAATGTAGTTCCACTTATGTAAGATGAGTAAGCTCTAGAGATCTCCTGTGTAATAGTGTGCCTATAGTTAATGATATTGTATTATACACTTAAAATTTTAAAGGGATAAATCGTCGTTTCCTTACCACAATAAATAAAAATTAGAGGAAAAAGGAATGTCAATTGCTTATCTTAATACTTTATATCCACTGGAGAATAAGTTACAAATAAAGATTTTGATCTTAAAAAGTAAAATGAATTTTAATTACACTCACATGTGCACGCACACACACACACAGACACACACGTGCTATCTCCTCATGTCTAAGAGTAATCTTACATTGTTATAAATATCTGCGGACTTTTTAAACTTGTTTTCTTTAAGCTTATTTCTGTTCTGAGAATAAGCAATAAAGTGAATAAAAGCTTGGCAGGAGAAAAAAAATAAACCACCTATGTTGACGTTATATATAGTCCTTTAGTCTTAATTCTGGCCATTTAGACAAGTTTTATGGGATCAGAAGCATGTGTAGTTTCTCTTAATATACTTGTCATCCTCGCATAATTTTAATAACCAAAAATATAAATGCTATAGAGAAATGAAATTGATAGCCTTTTTGTTATTCTAGCACTGAATAACAGTCTAGCTTTAAATGTCATTATTAAAGTGTGATTTTAGAGATGATCTTTCCTGTGTCTGACAAAATTAGCCAGAAGTAGAGTGACTGGGACAATTTACATAGACAAGCTTCTTATGAAGCAAATTAGCATAGAAAGTTGAAGAATGAAATATATTCCATTTATGATGTGACACTTGTCAAAATTCATTTTTATTAAAGCTGGGTAAGTGGATATTATTTAATCTAATTAAGTAGCTACAAACTATAGGGAAAATTAGAATTTTTGAATTAAAATAGAGCAAAGGTGGTTGGAGGAAAGATAGCATGACTCAGAAACTGTTCATTCTTCAAGTAGATTGAGAAATAAAGCCGTTGATATGTATAACCATCCTTTGGGCTAAACTAAATGTGCACAGGGCATCTTCCCTCAGGGGTAAGGGGATACCATAACATGGTTCTCAAGACCTCTGGGAAGATCTGAGAGCTTCCATATTGTCCCTCAAATATCTGACCCAAGATATTCATACTTCAAATACCTTGCATAATGAAAATGCCCTTCTGACAGTCTTCTAAGCCATAATCAGTCAAGAAATATTTAGTGTGTGTGAACTGATATTACAACAGACTTTAAAGAGTAGAAAAAAAGAATTGAATTTGATAGTTGGGATTAAGGGAATATTGATAGCATCAAAAGTCACTATGCACTACATGTTCTACATTTGGCCTAAAATTGATGCTGGTCAGTATAACTGAAATCCTCACTTAGATTAATAAATTCATAATTTATATAACTATCCATTAGAAGATACATACGATGCATATCTATAAAAGCTGTCAGATGTAAACATTTCAGATGTGTACACACACACACACACACGCTTTGGTTTTCTATATTAAATTCACACTCCTGTTTTCTCAAGCAACCCCTCTATTTGTCTCTGCTCTTTAAAGCACCTCTGACTTGTCTTGCTTAAGCTAATGTGATTTACAATTAGCATTATTATAATTATTTGGCTTTATTTCTATCAAAAGTTTTCTTGACAAATTCATTTCTCACTTTGATTCAATATTAAAACATGGTCTTCTGTGGCAAAAAGTCCTTACCAGCAAACACTCTTTTCACACCAAAAAAGTGAGACTAAGATAATTGGCAAAATGCAAGAAGGTTGAAGATATGTACGTTCTTACTGGATCTTTGATCTTTAATTCTTTCACTTTTTGAGTTCTTTATCTATTAGCAATAAAATCTCCTTGTTTATTGTATATTTTGAATGTTTTGTCCTAGTTTGTCAATTACCTTTTGACTTTACTTATTTGTGTCATGCAAATGTTTTAATATTTATGTAGCCACAGTAAATCACATATTGTCTGGATTTTTAGTCATATTACAAAGACTTGTACTGCTTCACATTTAAAGAGGAATTTGCCCATCTATTATTCTAGTCTTCTATGGTTTAAATTTTTTTTGCATTTAGAGGCTTAATCCATCTGGAGTTTATGTATGGTGTGAGACATTTTATCTAAAGGCAGTCAGATGTTATGGTACCACTTATTTAAAAGCTCATCTTTCTCCAGTGATTTCAAATGTTTGTTGTGTCAATTACTCAAATTTCATAGATAGATAGATAGATAGGTGATAGACATATATGTATCCATGTGCCAGTAGTACACTGTTTTCATTACAGCAAATATTTATACTGTGTTTTGGTATTAGTAGAGCTTTTGATCCTAGGGCGGCTGTAACAAAGTACCACCAACTGGGGAGCTTAAAACAATAGAAATTTATTCTCTCACAATAATGTAAGCTAGAAGTCCTAAATCAAAGTGTTGGAGGGACCATGCTATCTTTGAGGGTATTAGAGAAGAAACTGTTCCATGCCCTTCTCTTAGCTTCTGGTGAAGCTACACATCCATGGCACTCTTTAGCTTGTAGACATACTACTACTATCTCTGCCTCCATCAACACATAGTATTCTCCCTGTGAGTCTATCTCTGTATCTTTTCTTTTAATGACACCAGTCATATTAGATTAAGGGTTCAACCTATTCCATTATGATTTAATTATATGTGCAATAACCTTATTTCCAAATGTCATACATGGATGTTCCAAAGGGTTACGATTTCATATATATTAATGAGAGACAAAATTAAACCCGTAATACCACCAACACATCATAGTTTTATGTTTTGTCTGTTTATTTTCCCCAGTATTTACCTGGCTATTATTGATTTGAATGTTTGGTTTTCCTTATAAACTCCAGAATCATCATCTTCAACTCCAAAAACAGCTGGTTGGAATTTTTATTGGAGTTAGGTTGTATTTATAAATTAATTTAGAGACACCTAATATCTTTATTCTAAAATCTTATCCAAGAACAGTGTTTATTCCATTTGTTCAAATCCGTTATTATTTTTTAACATTTTAACAGTATTTTAAATATTTTTTCACCTAGGTTTTATACATTGTTATCAAATGTGGAAAGGGGCAGGATTTGATGTGTGAAATTGTCTCCTTGCTTACATCAACTTTTTTTTATTTTAAAATATTTTTATATTAGTGTGTTTTACAAGAGTTCTAGTTTATTGGCACCTTTTTCTGTTAGTTTAGTACTTTATTGGCAATATTTTTGTTTGTTTGCTTCTTTAATTTAGTGGTGGGTATGGGTTGCCCACAACACCAGAGAGGTTAGCTCTGATTTTGTGGTTTTCAACTTTTGTTTTTCTTTTTCTTTGCTGAAGATTGGCTATTTCTTTCACTTTGCCTTTTTAAAAAATCTCCCAAAACTATGTGTTTAGAAGACAGTCTCTTTAAGACATGCCTGTCTTTTAAAAGCATCTTTTACTGGCATACACCTTCAATTTTCCCAGAAGTTTTCTGGGAATATGTGCTTATTCCTATCTGTAAGTTAGTCTATAACAAAGTTTCTATTAATATGCTCATGGGAAATGGTTAAGGTGCAATGTGGTACCAGAAAGACAGATTCTTAACTGATATACCAACATTAAATGATCTACCAACATTAAATGCCTTTATTGATTTTCATGCTATATAAACACAAATTCTTTCCAGTTAGCAGAAGTGACTATCCATTTTTACCTCTTCAATGGTATTAATATTAGTCATGCACCAGCTATCGTACTGTGTGTTGGCTTTAATAATGTGACGTGGTCCTGATTCTGGCAAACAGTGCCCAGAAAGTGGCTTTTTCAAAAACATGATCCTGCCATGGTGTCTTTCTTCTTTACAGTTGTCTACTAGACTGTGTCTTTGATAACTAAGATGCTTTTTAAATATATATGTTTGTAATTTGATGATTAAAATAATTAGACTGTCTAAAGCTGTTTGTCCCATTGAAGACAATCATGCAGTTAAAAAATATCTGATGGAAAGCTAACACATATTAACAATAAATAAAAATTGTACTGAAATAAATACAAATATAAAAATAATTTACAAAATACAATTTTCAAATGATCTTCATTTAAAAGAAAAACCTAATGTGAGAAAATTACATCTAATTAAAGGCTTTAGACATTTTCTCAGAGTATATTTCAAGTAAATTCTACCTTAACATACATTATTGACATTTTATAAAGGGATATGCTTGCAAATATTGAAACACAAAAATAGATATATTCAAAAGTTTTTCAGGGGGCAGCCACTTTTTACTAACTATCTGTTTGATTAAAATACAAACTATATCACTTTTAAATTAATAAAACATATTTATAAATTTGAATTGTATAATAAAACAAATCAAGATTATCATCATATCTGCCCTAATGGTGTGTGTTAAATAAAACTGTTAAAATTATTAAATGTGTGTTAAGCGTGTATACAAAGCACTGCATAATTTTATATCCCAAAGGGTGTTTAAATCATCTTTTACTGTATTACTCAAGTATCTCCACAGTAAAGACATATGTCAAAACAAACTCTCGGTGCACAAAACAAGGGACTTTTATAATGGTATTAGAAGATTCTGCAAAGTATAAGCCTAACTACCAAAAAGGAAATTTTTCTTACTTTTTGAATTAATTAACTTTAATAAACTTCTATTTTCAAGCAGGTATAATTTATATATATTCAAGCAATTTCAGAAATGTCGCTTGGGATCATTGGAACATAGAACACCTTTTCTATTCCCTGATTATTCATCCATGGTCTTGCTAATTAAAGAATCATTCTACTTACAAGAGGACTGACTCAATCTGCTGTCCTGATTTCTTCAGACTACTCTACATGGCTTTTCTTCCCCTTTCTTTGTTCTGTCTCTGTCCCGCTTATTCTCTCATGGCTCTCTTAATTACATTCTGTTCCAGTGAAATATATCTTCATTCCACTATCTGTATTTTCTAATTAAATTTTATTTTAAGTTATATTTGTGCCCTGTTTCAATTAAATATTGCAAAGGAAGTCAGGATTGAGAAGAGACCTAGAAGCAAGTAAGAAATATGTGAGTAATATTTCCAGATAATCTATACTATTCCTTAAATGATAAATGAAAATTATAAAAGTATCCTAGAGATGTAGGTTAAATAAAAAACATATGAATTATTTTCAGAACATTAGATATTGGATCAAAAGGTACAACCAAAGGTGGCATCAAATTAAATTCAATGTTTTTCAACCCAAGAAAAAAATAAACAAATCGTAGAGACATCTTTCATTTTCCCACATTTAACCTCAAAGTAGGCTTTTCAGTTGAAGAGCGGTTGCCATTCATGTGAAGAACATTCCTTGCTATCCGTTGTGATACTATTATTATACTCTAAGTTAATTGACAAATCTTGAATTAGAAACAAACATTGGGAAAATTAATATGGAAGGGTATTGTTTTCTAACCTATGGCCATTAAATAATCAGTATTCTTAGACTGAGTATAAGTTACAATTTTAGGCCACAGTTTAACATTTTGTAAATAGTAACTATCCCAGCTTATTATGGTTGTACATTAATTCCTGTGACCCTTGGTATGTTTATCTTGTCATTTTCCTCTCTTTCATATATATACCCTATACTAATGATGAAGTAATTTTTTGAACAGAATACGTAAAGAGCAAAACAAAATATTTTACCTATCGACTATTCGCAAGCTGAGTACTCCAATTTCTACAGTCCTCTCAGCTAACAATTGAGCTTTGATCAATAGTAATAGAATTAAACCCTGAGATAAAATAAACACAAATTCTATCCTATAGTAAGAAAAAGAGTTATTATATGAAATACTTTGATTTTGGCAACATTTATCCAATTTTATTTTCTGTCACTATGATACATAAATCTTTTGTTTTTTCAAATTTCACCTTTACAATTTTAGTCATTTCTCTTGTTGCAACACCTAAAGAATTGGTAAACATTATAGATGATTTAAAACAAACATTTTATCTTGCAGGCATAATTTAAAAAGTTCAACTTTCTCTCTCTCTTTCTCTCTCTCTCCATATATATATATGGCCATAAAACATATTGAATCTGGTGACCCACATGAATTTCAAAATTGTTTTGTAAGATGTATGACTTGCTTTATCTTAAAATTCTATCTTTTGGGTAAGAAATAAAACCAGCAATGTAATTTAAATAAACCAACAGTAAATAATATTTAAAATATAATTAAACATTAAAACATAAAAAGGTCAATCTTTTCTAAAATTTAGAGTTTCTCTACATGTAAGGCTAATTAACATTATTTCAAGTAATAATTAGTAGTCAGCAGTATATTTTACTTTCCACAAATCATGCTGTAATGTCAACAGAACTTAATTCAGTTTTGAAGACTTGTGTTGATCTTTACCATTACACTGAAATATAGTGTTAACTGTGAGGTCATGGTCAGGTGACTTCATCTATGTCTTTTTTCTATCTTAAAATACTTATGAGAGACCTCTGCTTCAAGACAGAATGTTCTAGCAGTTAAACACTCATACTGACTTATAGAGAAAACTATGGGTTTTATCTTAAAGACATATTTAAAGGCATCCAGAGAGCTATGAAAAAAAATGTTAAATGAACTAAAATTCCAGAAAGGGAAAATATCTTCTGAGGTGAGCTAAGCAACATGCAGCCACTTCTATTTTAAATAAGTGTGTCAGAGCTTCTTGGATTTGGGCTAAAACTCTTGCTTTGGTAGAGAAAGTAAGCTGATAGAGCAAGAAGAAATAACTCTTAGAGGTTCTGTAGAGATGGAGCAAAAAACGCTGGATATGAAAGAAATCTCAAGTAAATACACTATCAGTCCTATCATTAATTTATTTGCTATAATTTAAAGGCTGAAAATCCCAAAAGCTAAAGAGTTAAGCTGAAAATATCTAATGGGCAGAACTGAATTTCCCACAGTCTTTCAGGAACAAGTAGGAAAAGCAAAGGAAAACAAACAAACAAATAAAAACAAACAACAGATCCTGCCAGCCTCTTAAAAATAAGGAGGAGAAAATCTAAACTTACCAAGGCTGTATTTTTGCCAAGACCTAGCTCAATCTGAAGCTTTATCAATGTGCTCAGATTCTCATTGTGTTTGTATAATGGAGGAAAAGAGGGATGTTCCCTGGTAGATGATAACATTATTGGGGCCTCCATAGTTCTTCTATACAAGGTGCATAGATATGGTTAAGAATTGTCAAACATGCAAAGAAACAAAGATATATTGACTACCAAGTATAAAAACATACAGGATCATTAACATAACAAATAATGCAGGAAGTAATGTTAAAAAATGACTTTGAAATAACTAAAAATAATATACAGGCATGTCTCAGATATATTGTGTGTTCAGTTCCAGATCGTTGCAATAAAGCTAATACTACAATAAAGTGAGCCACACATTTTTTTGGCTTCCCAGTTTAAATAATGCTGTGTTTACAATATAGTATTGTCTATTAAGTGTGCAATCACATTATGTCAAAAATGTACATACCTTAATTTAAAAATAGTATATTGCTAGAAAATGCTAATAAAAATCTGAGCCTACAGCAAATTGTAATCTTTTTGCTGATTAAAGGTCTTGCAATGATGGTGCCTGATTGATCAAAGCGGTCACTACTGAAAGTGAGGGTGGTTGTGGCAATTTTTAAAAATAAGACAACAAAGAAGTTTGCAGCATTGATTGACTCTTCCTTTCACAAAAGGTTCCTCTGTAGCATGCAATGCTGTTTGGTAGCATTTTACCCACAGTAGAACTCCTTTGAAAATTGGAGTGAATCCTCTCAACCCCTACCACTGCTTAGTCAACAAAGTTTATATAATATTCAAAATCTGTGTTGTCATTTCAACAATGTTCACAGTATCTTCATTGGGAGATTTATCTCAAGAAACCACCTTTTTTGCTCATTCATAAGAATCTTCTGATGCATTAAAGCTTTATCTTGAGATTGCAGCAATTCAGTCACGTCTTCAGGATCCACTTCTAATTCTACTTCTCTTATTTCCAACACATCTGTAGTTAATTTCTGTACTGAAGGCTTGATTCTCTTAAAGTCTTCCATTGGAGTTGAAATCAATTTATCCCAAGCTCCAGTTAGTATTGTTATTTTGGCCTCCTCTCATGAATCATGAATTTTCTTAATGGCATCTAAAATGGTTGAATCCTTTTTAGAAGGTTTTATATTAACTTTGTCCAGATCCCCCAGAGAAATCACTATCTATGGCAGCTATAATCTTACCAAATGTATTTCTTAAATAAAAGGACTTTAAAGTTGAAATTACTCCTGATTCATGGGCTGCAGAATGGATGTTGTGCTATCAGGCATGAAAACAACATTAGTCTCCTTGTGCATCTTCATCAGAGCTCTCAGGTGTCTACGTGCATGGTCAATGAACAGTAATATTTTGAAAAAAAAAGAAAAAAAAAAAACCTTTGTTTCTGAGAAGTACTCTCCAAAATGTGCTTAATATATTCAGTAAACCATGCTGTAAATAGATGTGTTGTCATCCAGAATTTATTGTTCCATTTCTAGAGCACAGCTAAAGTTAAATTAGCATAATTTTTAAGAGGCCTAAAATTTTTAGAATGACAAATGAGCACTGGCTTCAACTTTATTTGACCAGCTGTGTTAGCCCCTAACAAGTGAGTCAGAATATGCTTTGAGGGTTGAAACTAAGCATTGACTTCTCCTCTCTAGCTATGAAAGTCCTAAATGACAAATTCTTCCAAAAGAAGGTTGTTTTATCTACATTATAAATCTTTGATGTAGCTACCTTCATAAATTATCTTAGCTAGGTTTTCTGGATAACTTGCTGCAATTTCTACATCAGCACTTGCTGGTTCTCCTTGCAGTTTTATGATATACAGATGGATTTTTCTTTTAAAACCTCATGAATCAACCTTTGCTAGCTTTCAACTTTCCTTCTGCAGCTTCCTTACCTCTCCCAATCTTCATAGAATTGAAAAGAGTTAGGGTCTTCATTGAAGTTAGGCTTTGGCTTATAGGAATGTTGTGGCTGGATTTATCTTCTATCCAGATCACTACAATTTCCTCTATTTCAACAATACGCTGTTTCATTTTCTTATCATTTGTGTCTTCACTGGGGCATCACTTTCAATTTTCTTTTTTTATTCACAGCATGGCTAGCTATTTGGCACAAGAGGCCTAGATATCAACCTATTTTGGATTTTGGCATGCCTTCCTCATTAAGCTTAATCATTTATAGCTTTGACATAAAGAGAGAGATGTGTGACTCTTCCCTTTACTTGAACACTTAGAGACTATTGTAGAGTTACTAACTGGCCTAAATCCAATATTGCTGTGTCTAGGGAATAGGAAGACCTGAGGTGCCAGAGAGACATGGGGAAACAGCTGGTCACTGGAGCAGTCAGAACACATACAACATTTATTGATTAAGTTTGCCATCTTATATGGGTGCAGTTTGTAGCATCCCAAAACAATTACGATAGCAATATGAAAGATCACCATAATAGATATAATAACAAAAATGGAAATATTGTGAGAATTATCAAAATATGATACATACACAAAGTGAGCACATGTTGTTGGAAAAATGACACCAATAGACTTATTCAATGCATGGTTGCTACAAAACTTCAATTTTTAAAAGTCACGATGTATGTGAAGCACAATAAAGAAAAGCGTGAAAAAATGAGGTATGCCTGTACAATAAAAACAACATAATGGAAAGTATATATAAAACACATAAAAGGATGGATGATTTTACCCAGCAATTAGCATTTATTTACAGAAAAGTCATTATAGAGCTAAAACTTATAATATTTGATATTATCAACTCAACAATGTCTTAAAGTAAGTTGATCAAAGCTAAACACAGGATTAGTCATCAGAAACATGAGCCAAAAAAAAAGGGTACCACCTGATGCTCTATGAGCAAAATAATGTAAAAAAATGATGTGTAAAAAATATGTAGAACATGCACAATAGGCTAAGAAATGTGTGGCTTCAAATACTAAGACCAGGATGGTATCTGGGACAGAAGCATTGTTAGAATATGTAACAGCAGAGGATTTTTCCAAAACTAAAAGACATCAACCTACAGATTCATCAACCTCATGGTATGCAGAGAGGTTTGGAATATTATAGAAAAACTTTCAAGAACCAAAGTAAAAATGGGAAAACTTAAATGCAGCCTAGAGATTTAAGATGCCTTGCACTGACTGCACAACTCAACCAACGACAGCTGGAAGACAATGGAATAACACATTTAAAGTACTGAAGGAAAATAACTGCTATAATTGTAAACCTAGTGAAATTTTCTCAAAAATGAAGATATAATAAAGATATTTGCAGACAAACAAAAATTGAAAAAAGTTATAAGTGATTCTGCATTAAAAACATATCCAAGGAAGTTCTTCTGGTAGAGGGTACATTTTAACAGTCCAAACCAACTAAACTCAGGAGTATAATAAATAAAAGAAAGGTAGACATTGTATATATGTGTGTGTGTGTGTATGTGTGTGTGTGTGTGCGTGTAGCTATAGATAACTCCATATTCACTTAAATTGATTTAAATCAATATTGGCTTAATATTGACTTAACATCAATTTATGTACATAGTAGAGACTAAAATATGTGTGCTATTGAAATACGTGAAAATATAATGCAAAGTTGAAAGGAGTAATTGGACTTGAAGTGTTTCAATATTCTATTTTATCATAGGATCGTCAAAATAAATAATTTTCATTGACTATAGTATTCAAGAATGAATATTGTATTTTTCAGGTAGTGGCTCTTGCTGAGGGGAAATTTTGTCCCCAAGGGATATTTGGTAATGTGTAAAACTCTCTTTTGGATGGAACAATGGGAGATGAAGTGCGTACTTAACAGGCATCTAGTGAGTAGAAGTCAGGAATACTTTTAAACATCATACAAAACACAATAGCACCCACACAACAAAGAATTATTCAACTAAAATATCAACAGTACCAAGAATGAAATAATCTGCTGTAGGGTAACCACTAAATCATAACAAAAATGTGCAAGTAGCAAATGGACTACTAGAAAAATATGATAATAAAATATGTGATTAATACTATGACAGGGAGAAAGAGTAACAGAAAATAGGTGGGTTAAGGAGAAAACAAGTAGAAAAATGCTAAATATACAACGAACTATATTAGTAATTAAAATATATGTAGACTAACTATTCCAAATAAAAAAAAATAAGATTTGAGTCTGGGAAAACAGCATCACAATTATATGCATAATACAAGGCACACTCAAACTATAAAGATGTAGAAAGAATAAGCACAAATGTTCATTAAAAAACTATAATGAAAACTCTGACCAAAGTTTATCTTTTTAGCTATACAAATGTAGACCCAGTAAATAATTAGGAAAAAAAATTAATTGAGAAAGATTGGCATTTCAAAATGATAAGAAAGTTAATCCTACAGTAAGACATCACAATATTCAATCTATAAGCTTACAATAAATGGCTTCAAAGGATATTAATCATCACTTGGCAGAACTAAAAGAAAAAGTTAAATAATCTACAATATGATCATGAATTATAAATGGACTTCTCTTAAAAAAATAAAAACAATTAATTAAGGTTTTAAAAGATCTGATAACACAATTGGGAAACTTGAACTAGCTGACACTATAAAAATATATATTCAATTTCTACAGAATTCAAATGCTTTCAAGGGCCTATGGATTGTTTACCAAAGTCAACAATATGCTAGTTAGTAAGAAAAGCCGCAAAAAATATCAAAGGCTTTCAATCATTCAGAAGTTATTATTTGATACAACAGAGATCCTACTAGACATAGACGATTTAAAAAAAAATTTGAAAAGTCTCCTATTGCATATAGAATTATTATATAATCTATGGGTTAAGGAAGAAATTATAATTTAAATTATAAAAAACATTTCAAACCATTATATTTACATTTTCAGTTTTATAATAATATTCTGCTATGGATGAGTTCTTACATGGGTATATTAAGTTTTGCAAATTCATCATGCTTTATATTTGAGAACTATAATTTTCTGCATGTATACATATATACATACAGTATTTGAATAGGAAGTTACTAACTGTGATGGTTAATAATGATTGTCAATTTGATTGGATTGCAGGTTACAAATACTGATCTTGGGTGTGTCTGTGAGGTTGCTGCCAAAGGAGATTAACATTTGAGTCAGTGAGCTGGGAAAGGCAGACCCACCCTTAATCTGGGTGGGCACGATCTAATCAGTTGCCAGTACGGCTAGAATATAGGCAGGCAGAAAAATGTGAAAAGGGAGAGTGAGCTAGCTTCCCAGCCTACATCGTTCTCCCATGCTGGATGCTTCCTGCCCTCTAACATGGAACTCTAAGTTCTTCAGTTTTGAAAGTTGGAATGGCTCTCCTTGCTCCTAAGCCTGCAGACAGACTTTTGTAGGACCTTGTGATCATATGAGTTAATACTTAATAAACTCATATATATATATATATATGCAGTCCTCATATATGTAAAAATGTATTCCATTAGTTCTGTCTCTCTAGAGAAACCTGACTAATACACTAACAAATATAGTCTCAAATGTTATGTTACTCAATTTATGTATATAATTCAACTTTAAATCAAAATTAAATTGTCCAATTTATGAATTTGATTTAGCATTAATCTTAAGAAGAAAACGTTGCTCTAAAACCAATCTGATCTTATTCTACTTAGTACATTACCATTTAATGTATTCATGTTCTGTTTTCTATGACTGTCTTACCCTATGTTTTTGTGTGTGTGTTTCTCTTACCTCTTTCATGGACATCTATTTTGAATTACTTCTTTTCTAAATTATTGAATGTATTATTCCTATTGTGTTTTACTTTCCATTAGTGGCTACACTAAGGAATAAAACATGCATCACTTATTTATTACACTACAAGTTATTACTTTTACTGATTGATAGACAATACTAGAACTTTACATAATTTATCTCCATTTATCAGCTGACTGTCATGTTACTGTTGTTGACTATACTCATTCTATATTTATTTAGGCTTGAGATTATTTTTACTTCTGTTATGTTTTTAAGCTATATTAAGGTATAATTGCCAAATTTTAAAATGTATATATTTTTGGTGTACAACATGATGTTTTGATATATGTATAGATTACAAAATGAAGAAGTCAAGCTAAATAACATATCCATCTCCTCACATACTTAATCATTTTCTGTAGTAAAAACATTTAACATCTACTCTTTTAACAATTTTCAGGTATAAATTATTATAATAAAAATACATTATTATTAACTATAGTCACCATGCTGTATAATAGATTTCCAAAACGTATTCATTCTGTTTAACTAAAACTTTCTAGCCTTTGACCAACTTCACCACATTTCTTCTTTTTCCCCTTCCAAGTCAATGTCAACCACTGTTCTATTTTCTGCTTTTACAAGTTTGACATTTTCAGATTTCACCTAAAAGTAAGCTCATGCAGAACTTATCTTTGTGTGCCTGGCTTATTTCACTTACAATAATGTCCTCCAGGTTTAATCATGTTTTTTACAAGTGACAGGATTTCCCTCTTCTTTAAGGCTGAATAGTATTCCATCTCACACACACACACACACACACACACACACACACAAACACACACACACACCAAATATTCCACATCCATTCATCCACTGATGGGCACTTATATTGATTCCATATCTTGGCTATTGTAAATGTTAGAAGAAAAACTCCAGACAAATTAAAATTAGTAGAGTTTGTTTCAACAAAAAATGATTCATGAATAGGGCAACACTCAGAAACAGGAGAGGTTCAGACAGCTATACCCAGCAATGTGAGTAGGCAGCATTTATAGGCAGAAAAAGGAAGTAACATACAAAAACAACTTGATTGGTTACAGCTCAACATTTGTCTTATTTGGTCATTATGTGACCAATTGGCAGCCTGTGATTGGCTATGACTTAGCTATCTGTTACAAAAACATACTTTGTTAGGTTGCAGTTTGCTGTGTATAAAGGAAGGTTTAGGACAAATTTAATTTAATTTAATATGAATAATGCTGCCATGAACCTGGGGGTGCAGCTATTTCTTTGGCATATTGATTTTGATTCCTCTAGATACATACTCAGAAGTAGAATTGTTGAATCACATGCAATAGTAGTTCCTCCTTATCCATCAGGTATACATTCCAAGACCTTCAGTGGATGCCTGAAACCGCAGATAGTATTAAACCCTATATATACTACGCACAAATTTATTTTTTCCTTCTTCATAATTTCACAGAAGATTCAGTCTTACCATATATCTCATCAACCTCAGAATGTTTATTTTTTCCTTATTAAGTAGAGAACTTTCACTTTTTCACTAAAGAGAGCACTTTATGGCTTCTCTTTGGCATAACTGAATTATCAGCATCACTACTTTTGTGCTTTGCAGCTGTTAAAGTAAAATACTGGTCACTTAAACACAAGCACTGCAAAACACATCAGTTGATCTGATAATCAAGATGGCTACTAGGTGACTAATTGCACATAGCACATACGGCATGCATATGCTAAACAAAGGGATAACTAATGTTCTGGGAGGGACAGAGTGGGACAGCATGAGAGTTTCTTACATTACTCAGAAAAACATTGAATTTAAAATTTATGAATTGTTTCAGGAATTGTATATTGAATATTTTAAAACTGAGGTTGACTGGGGATAACTGAGACAAGGGAAGCAAAAACCTGAAAGAGTGGAGATCTATTGTAATTCCATTTTATTTTTTTGAGAAATTTATTTACTGTTTTTTCATAATGAGTGCACTCATTTACATTCACACATGCAATGTATGAGTGTTCCTTTTTCTCCCCATCCTCACCAGCACTTGTTATTTTATTTTTATAATGAACATTCTAACTGGTGTGATAAAACATCTAATTTAGTTTTGAGTTACACTTTTCTGATGATCCATGATTTTTAGATTTTCTCATGAATCTGGTAGTCATTTTTATGTTGTATTTTTTAAAAAATGTTGATTAAAGATGGGTTATTATCTTGTCTTTGCTATTGAGTTGTAAGCTGTCGAATTTTTAAATGTATTTTAACTATTAACCATTTTTCCAACAAATTGTTTGCAAATATTTTTTCCATACATTAGGTTGCTTTTTCACACTAATGCCAGTTCCTTTTGCTGTGTAAAAGCACTTTGGTTGATCTAATCTCATTTGTCTATTTTTACAATTGTTGTCTGTGTTATAGCAGTTACGTTCAAAGAAATCTTTTCCCAGTGATATGGTTTGGCTGTATCCCCACCCAAATCTCATCTTGAATTGTAGCTCCCATAATTCCCATGTATTGTGGGAGGAACCCAGTGGGAGATGATTGAATCATGGGGGCAGTTTCCACCATACTGTTCTTGTGGTAGTCAATGTCTCATGAGAGCTGATGGTTTTATAAGGGGAAAGCCCTATTGCTGGACTCCCATTTTCTTCTCTTGTCTGCCGCCATGTGAGAAGTGCCTTTCACCTTTAGCCATGATTGTAAGGCCTCCCCAACCATGTGGGACTGTGAGTCCATTAAACGTCTTTCTTTTGTAAGTTGCCTAATCTCCGGTATGTCTTTATCAGCAATGTGAAAACAGACTAATAAAGTTCATTGGTATCAGAAGAGTGGGGCACTGCTGAAAAGAGGCTCGAAAATGTGAAAGCAACTTTACAACTGGGTAACAGGTGGAGGTTGGAACAGTTTGAAGGGCTCAGAAGAAAACAGGAAAATGAGTGAAACTTAAGAACCTCCTAGAGTCTTATTGAATGGCTTTGAATGGAATGCTGATAATGATTGGACAATGAAATCCAGGCTGAGATGGTCTCAGATGGAAATAAGGAACTTTTTGGGAACTTGAGCAAAGGTAACTCTTGTTATGTTTTAACAAAGAGACTGACATAATTTTGCCCCTGCCCTAGAGACTTGTGGAACTCTGAACTTGAAGGAGATGATCCACAGAAGTTCAGAAAATTTGCAGCCTGATGATGTTATAGAAAAGAAAAATCCATTTTCTGAGGAGAAATTTGAGCCAGCTGCAGAAATTTGTGTAAGTAATGAGGAGACAAATGTTAACCACTAAGACAGTAAGAAAAATATCTCCAGGGCATGTCAGAGGTCTTCATGGCAGGCCCCCGCATCAAAGGCCTGGAGGCCTAGGAAAAAGAAATGGTTTTGTGGGCTGGGTACAGGGTCCCCCTGCTGTGTAATGCCTAGAGATATGGTGCCCTGTTTCCAGCTGCTACAGCTGGGGCTGAAGGGGGCCAATGTAAAGCTTGGGCTGTGGCTTCAGAGGGTTCAAGCCCCAAGCATTGGCAGCTTCCACATGCTGTTGAGTCTTTGAGTGCAAAGAAGTCAAGAATTGGCATTTGGGAACCTCTGCCTAGATTTCAGACCATGTATACAAATTCCTGGACGTCCAGGCAGAAGTTTGATACAGAGATAGGGCCCTCACGGAGAACGTCTGCTAGGGCAGTGCTGAAGGGAAGTGTGGGGTTGAAGCCCCACACAGAGTCCCCACTGGGGTGCTGCCCAGTGGAGCTGTGAAGAGGGCCACCATCCTCCAGATCCCAGAATGATACGTCCACAGACAGCTTGCACCGTGCACCTGGAAAAGCCAGACATTCAACACCATCTTGTGACAGCAGCCATGGGGGAGGCTGTACCCTGCAAAATCACAGGAGTGGAGCTGCACAAGACCATGGGAACCCACCTCTTGCATCAGTGTGACCTGGATGTGAGCCATGGAATCAAAGGAGATCATTTTGAAGCTTTAATATTTGACTCCTCCACTGGATTTCAAAGGGGCTATAGGCCCCTTTGTTTTGGCCAATTTCTCCTATTTGGAATGACTATATTTACCCAATGCCTGTACCCCCATTGTATCTAGGAAGTAACTAACTTGCTTTTGATTTTACAGGCTCATAGGTGGAAGGGACTTGCCTTGTCCCAGATAAGACTTTGGACTATGGATTTTTGAGTTAATGCTGAAATAACTTAAGACTTTGGGGGACCGTTGGGAAGGCATGATTGGTTTTGAATGTGAGGACATGAGATTTGGATGGGGCCAGGTATAGAATGATATGGTTTGGCTGTGTCCTCACCCAAATCTCACCTTGAATTGTAGCTCCCATACTTCTTTCATGTTGTCGGAGGGACCCAGTGTGAAATGATGGAATCATGGGGATGGTTTTCCCCATACTGTTTGTGTAGTAGTGAGTAAGTCTCACGAGATTTGATGGTTTTATAAGGAGAAACCCTTTATTTGGCTCTCATTATCTTATCTTGTCTTCCACCATGTGAGACATGCCTTTCACCTTTAGCCATGATTGTGAGGATTCCCCAGCCATGTGAACTGTGAGTCTATTAAACCTCTTTCTTTTGTAAATTTCTTTGTCTCAGGTATGTCTTTTTTTTTTTTTTTTTTTTTTTTTTTTTTTTTGAGACGGAGTCTCGCTCTGTCGCCCAGGCCAGACTGCGGACTGCAGTGGCGCAATCTCGGCTCACTGCAAGCTCCGCTTCCCGGGTTCACGCCATTCTCCTGCCTCAGCCTCCCGAGTAGCTGGGACTACAGGCGCCCGCCACCGCGCCCGGCTAATTTTTTTTGTATTTTTTTTAGTAGAGACGGGGTTTCACCTTGTTAGCCAGGATGGTCTCGATCTCCTGACCTCATGATCCACCCGCCTCGGCCTCCCAAAGTGCTGGGATTACAGGCTCAGGTATGTCTTTATCAGCAGTGTGAAAATGAACTAATACACCCAGCAAGGGTGTATTAGCACCCAGTAAGGATGCTTTTTTTTTTTATTTTTCTTCTAGTACTTTTAGAGTATTACATCTTATGCTTAAGTCTTTATTCATTTTGAGTTGATTTTTATATATAATGTGAGATATGGGTCCAATATTATGCTTCTGCATGTGAATATCTAGTTTTCACAACACCATTTACTGAAGAGACTATCCTTTCCCCATTGTGTGTATTGGCAATTTTTTCAAACATCAATTGACCGTACATGCTGGATTTATTTCTGGCTTCTCTATCCTGTTCAACTGGTAGATATGTCTGTTTTTATGCTAGTCCCATGCTGTTTTATGACTATAGCTTTGCAGTATATCTGGAGATGAGGTAGTGTGATGTCTCCAGTTTTATTTTTTTACTCAATATTACTTTGGCTAGTTAGAGTGTTTGGTGGTTGGCTACATATTTTATAATTATTTTTCTATTTCTATGAAAAATGCCATTGGGATGTTGAGAAGGATTGCATTTAGTCTGTACCAATTTGTGTAGTATGGATATTTTAACAATTATAATTCTTCCAATTCATGAATGCAAAGTATTTTTCCACATATTTTTCTCCTTCAATTTTTTTCATCAATATTTTACAAGTTTAAGTGTATAGCCAGAACCATCACAACCAACCCAGTGGGTGTCCTCACACTCACTCATTAGGGGAGGTCTTCTCCCAATAAAGACAGCTTGGAAAGTCTAGAAGAAATGACTACTTTATCAAATGAGCAGACATTAATGAAATGCAATAAGAAATATTTTTAAATAAAAGGAAACATCACCACAAAAAGACCACAATAATTTCCCAGTAACTGATCCCTAAAAATGGATCTATAAATTTCCTGACAACTAATTTAAAATAATTGTTTAAATAAAGCTCAATGAACTTAGGAAAACATAGAGAGAAAATGTAATGGTATCAGAAAAATAATAAGCAAACAAAATGAGAATTTTAACTGAGAGAGTAAAGTTATATAAAAGAACCAAGCAGAAATTCTGGAGCTGAATAATACAAGAAATGAAATAAAAAATCCAGTCGAGCACATTAACAGTAGAAATGTTCAAATAGAAGAAATTATCTTTGAACTCCAGAATAGGTTATTTGAAAATACGAGGTCAGAGAAAAAATTAAAAAAAACAATGAAAATGAATGAAGAAAGCCTATGGGATTTACAGGAGAATAGCAAGAGAGCTAACATTAACATTATAAGTACTAAACAAGGAAAAGAGAAAGATAATGAAATAGAAAGCTTACTTAAAGAAATAATGGTTGAAAATTTCCCAAATTTTGGGAAAAATATAAACAACCAGGTATAAAGAACTCAAAGGTCTCCAATCTGATTCAACCCAAAGATTACCCCAAGGTGTGTTATAATCAAATGGACAAAAATGAAAGACAAAGAGAGAACCTTGAAAGCAGCAGGAGAAAAAAAAAATCCTCACATGCAAGGAAACCCCAATAAGGTTTTTTTGGGGGGTTGTTTTTTGTTTATTTGTTTGAAACAGAATCTCTCTCTGTCACCCAGTCTGGAGTGCAGTGGCATGATCTTGGCTCATTGCAACCTCCGCCTCCTGGCTTTAAGCAATTCTCTTGCCTCAGCCTCCTGAGTAGCTAGAACTACAGGGGTGCATCTCCACACCCAGCTAATATGTGTACTTTTACTAGAGACAGGGTTTCACTATGTTGGCTGGGCTGGTCTCAAACTCCTGGCCTCAAGTGATCTGCCCACCTCAGCCTCCCAAAATGCTGAGATTTCAGGCCTGACCACCACACCTGGTCCCAGTAAGGTTTTTAGCAGATTTCTTGTCAGAAAATTTGCAGACCAGGAGCCAGTGAGATGATATATTCAAAGTGCCAAGGAAAAAATTATGCCAAAAAGTAATACCATACTTGGCAAAAATATTCTTCATAAATGAAGGCGAAATAAAAACTGTCAAACTCAAACAAAACGGAGGGAATCCTTCACCACTAGACCCGTCTTACAAGAAATACTGAAGGGAGTCCTTTCACCTGAAATGAAGGATATTAATTAGTAACTTGAAAAACATAAGAAAGTATGAAACTCACTGGTAAAAGTATATAACTGAAATCAGAATACTCTAACACTATAAAGGGAAATCACGTATATCTCTAGTATAAAAGTTAATAGATGAAGGATTATAAATAACTATAGCTATAATAATTTATTAAAAGATATACAATATAAAAAGATATAAAGGATGACACACAAAACATATAATAATTGGGGGTAAAGTAATCTAGTTTTTTAAATATGCTCAAACTTACCAAGTTATCAGCTAACCTGATATAACTATAAGAGGTTTTTACGTATGCCTCATGGTAACCATGAAGCAAAAACTTAGTAGTAGATACACTACTAAAGTATTTACTTTACTTAGGTAAAGGGAAAAAAAATAGAGCATACCACTACAAAAATTATCAAATCACACAGCAAGACAGCAAGAAAGGAAAAATGAACTAAAGACTTGCAAAACAACAAGAAAACAATAAACAAAATGTGAATGAACACAGAGAATGCTGTTTATTTGAGTCAAGAAAATAGGAAATAAGGACCCTTTATCATTCCCTAAAAATAGTATGCTGTTTTAAACTATATGTATATATACCCTTTGCCCAGGATGCCATCTCTCATGTTTTATTTTTTGCAATTTCCTCCTTATTTATCAAAATTCAAAGCCATTTTCTTCTTTACAAATATTACTCTAGTAATCAAGCAGAGTTGATTTCTTCCATTGCCATAAATTGCACATATTATTGTACTTAGGTTGTTATATTATGATTATTTGTTTATATGTTTGTCTCCTCTGCTATATTTTTCATTACTTTAGAGAGGAACTGTGTCTTTTCAGCTCTTCAGCACCTAGCATACCTGGAAATATTAAGCTTTAAAAAATATGTTTTAATAAACAGTATGCACAGTCAGAAATAATTGGGCTTTTTTTAGATGTTTGGCAATTTTGAATCACAGTCCACAAAATTCCAGTGTCACCCACCCTCATTCCAATACCATTACAGAATGGTGATCAATAAACCTCAGTTACTCAAGCATCTAACTAATAATCAAACATTAGGGACAAACTCTCACTTTATAATTCCTGACTGGTTACCAATAAAACTCTCACCCCCGGGCTGCATGGTTCTTCTGGATCTGGCAGCTCTGCGTCATTCTTACTATGCTTAGGAGATAGTAGAGTGTTCTTCAGCAAGGTTAGGCATCATGCAGCCAAATATATCTAAACATTTGCCTCTTCTCTCTGTGCCTCTGGAGGGCAATATGAAGATTCCCAGTGCTTTCCGAACCCTACTGTCAAGTCCAAAGGACATAGGGAAAAGTGTGTCCTTTCAGTTAATGTTAACTAATAAAATATTTATTAACCTCCTCCTGGAATATCACATGTTGAACAAATTTTAAAATTATCCATTTAATGTAGGCACAACAGTAAGGATAGATCAGTTACTTATGCAATAAAAATTCCAGTATGTCAGGAAGACAGATAGGCAAATAGTTATTTACTTTAAATGTGGTAAGTGATGTGATAGAGAAATAGAGTTGTCTGTGGGAGCCAACCAATCCGGATACATGGGAGTGATCATGAAGAATATTTTGGAGGTGGCAGTTTCTAATTTGAGATATAAATAATACATAGAAAATGGATAAAAGTTGACTTTAATGTCACACATGATAAAGCTTCAAGAAAGAAGAAGCAAGTAAACATTTTAATTTGGTAGGAATACAGAGTGTACTATTAAATGACTGATAAAAGGATCTGGAGATGTAACAAGGGCCAGTGGAATGTTTAAAGCTTAGCTCAGCAATGGAAAAACAGACAATTTTAAGATTAGGAGTAACACAGTTTTACACATTACAAATACCACTCTATGTGGTGGGACCAGTTAGGAGGCTATTAGCTATAAAATTCTAAGTAGGGGGTATTGTGAAAAGTAAAGCAACTTGAGAAAAATAATTAGAATATAGGATCAGTAGTTTCTGTTTATTGATTTTAAGGAATGAGGAAGAGGGAGAAATATGGGAGAATAAATGATGGTGACCCGGGCTCCATCAGTTTTATTTAATACTTTCAATGAGAAGGTATACAGGAGAAGCAAGTTGGTAAGTCGGGTTTGGATGAAGTTGATGCGATGTATTCAAGAGGAGATGTCCAATAACAGTTGGATGTATATGAGGCATATCTATCTAGTTACTAGAAATAAATGTGAAAGCCATCAGACATATATTGTAAGTGAAGCCAATATAGTTTCAGATGCCTGGAGAGTGAGAATATTTGAAAAGGAACACCAACATCTATCAAGGATGCACCAAGCACATGAAGTCTGCAAGGTTCATGCAGAAGTAGAAGCCAGTGAAATGTTAGAAAAACCCAGTGAATTTAGTAGAAGTATAGACAATAGAAGACAGTGCTTTCAGAACACAGAAGTGGTCAAAAGTGTGTAGCAACAGGTCATATAATCATATAACATCAAAATATTCACCTATATCTTTCAATAAACTGAAATTTTATTTAAGCATTGACCTAGGATACTTTTACTTCCTCAGCACTTTCAAAACACAATTCTGGGAAATGAAATCAATTTCATTTATTTATTTCTCCAACACAATTCTGAGAAATGAAACTAATTCTTACACACTTTCTTTTAATCAAGAAGACATTCTAGGTTGCAAAAAAACACAAATTGATTTTTTAAATTTCCTGACAAATGCATAACTGCAAAAAAAAAAATCAATCTGATTTCTGATATTTTCTGGTAGAATGTAAGGAAGCTGACTGACTGTTCTCTACACTTTTCATTATTTTCACTATTTTTTTCTTTTGCTTTTGTGTTTTGTTTTGTGAGCTGAAATTCAATTTAAAGAAAAGTAAGGATGAATGAAGCAGTGGACCCAGTGAGAGCACCACTAACATACGCAGTGTTTTCAGTGGCCAATTTTTCACACTGTTTGAAGGGAGTGAAATATTAGTATTCATCTCACATTGGAAGCAAGCTGAAAAGGCATAGTTATATTTTCAGTCTGATTGTTTTTTATTTGAAGTGTAAACTCACAAACTGTAGCTGTGGAGGGGCAAACAAAAGGAATAGAAAGAAAACTGGGTTTGTTTGTTCTATTAAATGTAGGATCTACGTTCTAGGCATCTACATAAAAGGATTTACTTGGACTTCTGATTCCCATCTGTTTTAATTGGTTGGTTTATATTCATAAGCAGCACTGGCATCCTAAACAGAAATTATATGATATTATATGCAGAGAAGAGGTGGGGGAGAGTGTTTCTGACTCTTTGTTCACTTTCCAATTCTTTGTATAAAAAACAGACTGAACATAGCACTAGCCTTAGCTTCTGAGCCCTGGAACAGCTTAGAAAGAAAAAAAAAATAGAAGAGAGCTTAAAAACAGAAAAGAAAGCCTTACAGAAATATTGTGTACCGTGCTCTGCAACCTGAAATATCTTCTACCCAATTCTCCTATAATGAATGGAAACAATTTTATAGCCCAATTATTATGTAGTCCATCAATTTATGGAGATAACAAATACAAATGGGAAATAAAGACCATTTTCATTAGCTCCATCTGTGCATGCAAACAAACTAATATGAGAAAAATAAAATTGTGTTTCTCTTGTCTTTACCCATAAGAATGTGCTCCATTCCATTAAAAAGTAAAACAACTGAATATTTTAAATGTACTTACTGGAGCTCCAGTAGCGCAATTGGTTAGTGTGCAGCACTTACATGAAACGTACTTGCTGACAGTTTTTTAAACATTTTAAATATGTTTCAAAGGAAAAAAAATTTTATAAATAAAAGGACATTTTAAAAATGCCTAGTTTAAAATAACACAATTAATTTAAATAAAATCCTAAAAGAAATTCATTATTTCAATGATTATTGAAGTTGAGTAATTAAATCAAATTGAATACAAGTCAGTCAAATAAATATTTATTAATTTTCTATAATATATACCCAACATGTGCCAGGTGTTAGGGAGGTATCAAAGAAGAGAACAACTTAGTTCTACCATGTGCTGAAACAGAAGAGGAGCCACCTAATCTGTGAGATTAGAAGAGACCCTCAGCAGGCATCCAGACTCTCAGTGCCTTATTTTAGACTTCCTAGCCTCTAGAACTATAAGAAATAAATATATATTACTTATAAATTATTTAGTCTCAGGTATTTTGTTATAGCCATACTAATAGACTAAGACAGCTACCAACTACATGACTCATCTAATCCCCAGTAGAAACATAAGAAGGAAGGGGAGGATACCAAGAGTATTCATGAAAAAAATCCCCCCTTAAGAAAATAAGAGGGTATAATAAGCATCCTCCTGAATATTTCATAGGTTTTTGATCTCTTAAATATTACAATTTAGAATTGACCCTGTGTCCTTCCTTCATGGGACTACTCACAATCAGCTGCCAGTCTTTCATAGACACTCCATAGACCACTGGTAGGCAGTTTTGACTTTACTCTCCAAAGGACCATAGTGTAACCTACAACCAATGTTATGCATTGTTCTCATCAGAGATTACGCAATGGAAATAAATGTACATATTTTGATATTTCAATTTTTAGAAATGTAGAAATACTTGAAATTTGCATATAAACTTTATTCTATTATGGTATACTTGATATTTTTATTAATCTAATATTAATATTCCTAAGAAACTGAAGTTCAAAATTCAAGAGGTTCAAAAATCCTCTATGATTTAACACATAAAGTAATTCACTCTTACCCTCTTCTTACAATGATTATATTCTTCACAATATGAGCCTAATTCCAGCCAGATTATTGTTTTGTACAACAGCACCAACAAAGCAACAAATAACTCTTCCAAAAGACATATTAAATGTAGAGGGAGATCAAAATAATAAGAATCTCAGGCTATGTGCTACTAATCAGTTTCTCTGTTGTATTCTGAAAGATGAATTATTTTAGCACAGCAATGACCTTCTTACACTCTTCCATGTCTTTGCTGTGGTGAACAGTGCTGTAATGAACATATGTGTGCATGTGTCTTTATAGTACAACTATTTATATTCCTTTGGGTATATATATTCAGTAATGGAATGGCTGAGTTGAATGGTAGTCCTATTTTAAGTTCTTTGAGAAATCTCCAAACTACTTTCCACAGTGCCTGAACTAATTTAAATTCCCACCATCAGTGTCTAACTGTTCCCCTTTCTCCAAAACATTGTCAGTTTCTGTTATTTTTTGACTTTTTTTTCAGAGCCATTCTGACTGTGTGAGATGGTATCTCATTGTGGTTTTGATTTACATTTTCTTAATGATTAGTGATGGTGAGCATTTTTTTCATGTGCTTATTGACCATGTGTATGTCTTCTTTTGAGATGTGTCCGTATCTTCTTCCCATTTTTAGTGGGATTGTTGGTTTTTTGCTTGTTGATTTAAGTTCCTTATAGATTCTGGATTTTAGACTTTTGTCAGATGTGTAGTTTACAAATATTTTCTCCCATTCTGTAGATTGTCTGTTTACTCTATTGATAGTTACCTTGGCTGTGCAGAAATTCTTTAGTTTAGTAAGGTTACCTTTGCTGTGTAGAAGTTCTTTAGTTTAGTTAGGTCCCACTTGCCAATTTTTGTTTTTGTTGCAGTTGCTTTTGCAGTATTCGTCATAAAAACCTTGTAGCATTATTCACAAGAACCAAAATGTTAAAATAACCATAATATCTAAGAAGTGATAAATGAACAAAATGTGATATATCCATATGGTAGAATACTATGCAGCCATTAAAAGGAATCAAAGTACTGACATATGCTACAAGTTTGAAAACATTATGCTAAGGGAATGATGCCTATCACAAAAGGCCACAAATTATATAACTCTACTCATAAGAATTGTCCTGAATAGGCAAATCTATGGTGATAGAAAGTATATTAGTGGTTGCTGAGGGATAGGATGAGGGTAGGAGGATGTAGGGGGTGATGGTGTGAGGATACAGGGTTTTTTTTAAGATGGTGAAAATGTTCTAAAAGCGACTGTGGTGACGGTTGCACAACTCTGTGAACAAAATAAAAGCCATTTAATTGTATGTTTTAAGTGGATGAATTGTGTGGTTTCTGAATCGAATCTCAACAAAGCTTTTTTTTTTTTTCAACAAAAAGATCATAAGGGTGGTATGGCTTTAATTATTACTAATACCATATATTTGGTGAACTTACAGGCTGAAGAAGATCCCAGTGATGTATACACAAAGAACAGACCCTGTGAGGATGCAATGAGAAGGCAGCCATGGAGGGGGCACTTGGGAGAAACTAAAACTTCTGACACCTTGATCTTAGGCTTCCAGCCTCAAGAACTGTGAGAAAACATATTTCTCTTGTTTAAGCCACCCAATATACAGTATTTTCTTATGGTATGCCTAGGAAATTATGCAGTAAATATTTAGCTAGAGTATCCTTGGAAGTTGCAAGAAATATCAGAATCAGTAAACTCTTCTAGACTCCAGATATCTAGAGGACAAATTTTCAAGCACATAGATCAAATCCAAAGTCTTGTTTTATTTTTTAACTGATATAAAATTTATGTTAGTGAAATGCATAATCTTAAATACTCAAGTAGATAATTTTGGCAAATATCTCCATATAACCAGTTCCTTTATCAATCTATAGACTATTTCCATGAACAAAGAAAGCTATTTCTCTCTTTTGAAGTCATCTTCTATACCCAATAGATAACCACTGTGCTGATACTTTTTTATCACCAGAGATTAGTTTTGCCTATTCTTGAAACGCACATAAATGAAAACATAGAGAATGTTATATTTCATTTCTGAATTTATTGCTCAACATTACATTTTTATGATTTAGCCAAATTGTATAGCATTTATTCATTCATTATCATTTCTGAGAAATATTCCAACAAGTGAATTTATCAAATTTATTTATTCTTCTGTGAGTATATACCTTAACGTGGTTCCCAGTTGTAGATATCATGAATAAATATACTATAAACATTATTTTATGAGTCATTTCATAGATACATATTTTTATTTCTCTTGAGTTAATTAATACTGAACAGTAAATTGCTAGGTCTTAGGTTAGGTGCATGTTTACCTTTATAAGAAACTGCCAATTCCCAGTTTGTCATTTGTGCTTTAATTTTCTTAACTAATTTTTATGAAGGGCAGAAGTTGTGTGTTTTAAAATAATTGATTTCAATTTGTCAACTTTTTTGTCTCTAAAAATTATGTCTACCCGCAAGACCACAAACCCATTCTCTTATGTTTTTTTCTAGAAAAATTTTTTTAACTTTTAAGTGTATTGTCTAGCTCAAATTAAGGTTTGTGTATACTGTCAGCTGGAGATGGTCATTCCCCCACGTGTGTGTGTGTGTGTGTGTGTGTGTGTGTGTGTGTGTGTACTTGCCCATTATCACCAGTTAAAATACTATTCTTTACTGAATTGCTTTAAAGTCTTAGTCAAATATCATCTAACTGCACCTATTTTTCTTTTTCCTGGACTTTGTGTTCTATTCCATTGATCTAGTTTTCTGCTCTTATCTCTAATATCTTGATTTCAGTAGCTCTATAGTAAGTTTTTTTAATAGAAAAATGTATTAACCTTGCCCCATTTATTCTCTCCTTTTAAACCCGGTGTGGCTTATTTGTGTTATTTGTATTCCCAAGTAAATTTTAGTATCAGCCTACCCAATTTCTACAATTATTGGATTTTTTATTTAGGGCAGAATTAACAACTTAATTTTTAGTTGTTCTATCCATGAACAGAGTGCTTATTTATTTACTTTAGTATTGCTTATTTCCACACTGTTTTGTGGTTTGCGGTGCAGTTTTATAGCTCTTTTATTACATTTGATCCTATTCCTTTTCATGCTTTTGATGCATCTTCTATTTATATGTACTTAATTTTGCAATTTTTTTTTGCTTGTACTGAATCTCAAGATTTACAAAAATTTATTATTTTATTTATTTTTTTGAGATATCCTAAGATTGTCTAAATACTGGATTATACGTCCTGCAAGTAAAAACTGTTATATGTCTCCTATTCCAAAATGTTTGTGATTTATTTATTATTTTATTTCACTGGCTAAAATCTTTGATATAATATATGTCTTATATTAGTCTGCTAGGACTGCCATAACAAAAAATGGTTAACTGGGTTGTTTAAACAACAGAAACTGATTTTCTCACCGTTCTAGGGGCTGGCATTCCAAGATAAGTTGCCAGCAGGTTTGATTTCTCCTGAGGACTCTCATTCTTTGGCTTACAGATACTTGTATTTTTACTCTGTCCTCACATGGTCTTCTCCTCTGGGTACATGCGTATCTTGTGTCTCTTTTCTGATGAGGACCGCAGTCATATTGCCTTAGGGCTCCACCCTTATGATCTCATTTAACATTAATTACTTCCCAATTATAGTCACATTGGGAAATAGGGCTTCAACATATACATTTGTGGGGTAACATAATTCACTCCATAACAATGTTGAATAAAAATGATGAGAACAGGTACTTTTTATTCTGGTCTTAAATAGAAACCATTTAAAATATTACACTGTATATGTCATTATCATACTGAGGAAATTTCCTTTTATTTCAAGTTTGCTGAAACTTTTACTGTGAGTAGGCTTTGGATTTTGTCAAATGCTTTTAATGAGTCTACTTTGACCATCATATTGTTTTCTTCTTTCATCTATTAGTGTGAAATACAAAGTTTGATTTGTGAATGTCAAATCTTAACATTCCTTAGGTAAATTCACTTGATCATTATTTATTACTCTCTTTATTTATTTCAACATCTGCTGTGCTTTTTAAAAGAAATTTTGTGCTTGTGCTTATGAGTGGCATTGCTTTTGATAAGTTTTTTTCTTGTAATGTCCCTACAAGTTTTGATATTGGAGTTATTCAGGGATCATAAAATGAGTTAAAAACTTTTTTCATCGCCATGCATTTCCTGAAAAATTCTGTTTCAGATTATTATTATTTCTTCTGGTGGAAACAATTATATCTGTTTTTATAAGATAAGGTTTCCTATAAAAGATTTAATTTCCTAAGCAGATATAAGGCTATTCAGATCTATTTTCTTCTTTTGTCAATTTCTGTAGGATGCTTTGCCAAAGAATTTTCTTATTTCATCCAAGATGTCAGTGATATTGGCATGATATTGTCATTTTATCGCCTCATCCTTTTAGTATTTTTATGTTTCCCTCCTTCTGCTTCTGGTAATTTGTTCTCTCTCTCTCTCTCTATCTCTCTCTCTCTGTGTGTATGTGTGTGTGTGTGTGTGTGTGTGTGTGTGTGTGTGTGTGTGTGTCCATCTCTCTGTCCTTCTCTCTTTCTCTAGAGTAGTTATTCTAAGGATTTATAAATTGTGTTACTCTGTTATGAGTCAATAAATGAAATACGGATTGTTTCCATGAACTAAATGGATCTGAAATCAGTATGAATATTAAGTTTATAGAATACCAGTAGGCCAAGACGTTGGTCTTGCCTTGACAACTGAATTCCTTCTGAGAGAAAGAATGATAAATTACATATTGTGTGGGATGACTCCAGCCTACTGACAAAGTGAATATTTGGTACATTGGCTACCAGGCCCAAAAGTAACAGAAATTATGGCTACTTAAACTGTATTATATTTTTACTGTAATGCTTAATTTTAAAATACAGTATCATCAATGCTCTATAATGTATGAATATATCTGTTGTCTTTATTTTAGGATTTTACCTACGTACAAAGCCAAATCCTAAAAAGCCAACGTGGGCTTCCTCTTTCCTCATTGTTTGCAACAACCTAAATAATTTGTCCATTAGAAACTTTTAAAATACAAAGTACACTAAATTAACCCCCATATGAATTCTCAGTTTTTTTATACTGGAACATTTTATAGCATGAGATTAAAAATACTTAGGTGATCCTTTCAAAGTGGCTTACTTTTGTTTCTTTAAATATGAAAGAATGTAGATTTTTTAAAATATCAAAAATAATTTCACTAGTCAGTTAAAAACATCCATTTTAGACTTATAAAAAATATTACCAACATTCAACTATTACCTGTATTGCCACTGACAACCAAAATGAGTGACTGAGGCTTGAGTCTCAAATCATCAATGTTTATTGAGACAGTTTGAGGGTGTGCCTTAAAAAAACGCAAGTCACAGACACATCTGTGGCACACAGGGATTTTTTTTTTTCCATGGAGGTGCGAGGAGATTTAGTACTTATACATTTTCCTTTAAAAGGGGGAAGAATGCAATGCATGATTACACACTTGTGAGACTGTAGTTAGCACCCAACGAATCTACATTTTACAAAGAATAAGGTGAATATCTGAAGAAAAAGAGAATAGAGGAAGCAGACATCTCAGGAAAGGGTGAAAGAATGATTAATTTCATCTTGTCTGTGTTCTGTACCTGGGACAATATGCTAGTAATCAATTTTAACATTGTGGAGTCTTTGAAAGGTTTGGGTTATATTTGGCCCCTTACGGATGAAAATCTAATAGGGTTAGTCAGGGAGTGGGTATGATGAGGCTTGTCCAGCATTTCGTGGCGGCCATGGAACTCAGATTCCAAGGGTTCCCTGTGGTCCTCATGGCCAAGAGGGGCCCTCTTCAGTCACTTAAGGGCTCAGAATTTTATTTTAATTTCTTACCATCTTAAATTATTAATGGTTTTTTAGGAACGTGGGGAAATGTCTGAGTTCTGCTTGAAATTGAAAAGCAGCATGTTTTAGTCCTTAGATACCACTCTTCTGATACATTGTCTAGTTTGAAATCTATTCATAACTTCACAAAGTTATTTTATCCTTTGAGATAGGTACTGTAAACTAAAGATAAAATTGTAAGCAGACCATCTCTTGGCCATGGGGATGCCAGAGCAATCTTGAAAACTAAATTCTTGGACATGATTGGAAGGGGTGTAAGACATACCTCCTTATACTGCCTCCCCCTGCTAACCACAATTGGCCTTTCTTCCCTAAGGGTCAAACAGAAACCAGCTTTTTCAAAAGACTCTACCACGGATATCAGCCAACCATCTTATGCTGCCCCTTCATTTTTACTTGATAGGAGACCACCAATCACGGGATGTTTCTGGCCAGTCTAAAGAGAATGCACAGTAAGGGTTTTCACGTCCTTTGCTTCACACTTTAATGTCAGAAGGTGGAAAACTTCACTGTCAGATCCTGCTAACACTGTCATTTTTTGAACATGAGACCCATGAAGGGGCATGAAGTGCCATTGCACATGCACACATTTCTCCTTTCATAAATATCCATGACTCCTCCTGTGGCTTAATGAATATGTGTATTTGGCCATCCTGCTCAGCATAAATGCCTGTTCCCTTTGCTCCTCATTTGAAATGTCTGCTTCCAGCTTCTGACCAGAGGCTATGCTGCCCAGTCTGTCAGCATGGCCACCTTGCAAGCTACAACCCTTTATGAGAAAAAAGCTCTCCTTTCCAAATTTGTGAACCTCATCATTCTTCAGTTGACAGTACAATGGATGGGTCATTTATAATAGCAATATTATTTCTATAGTCTGAATGTTTATGTTTCCTCAAAATTAATGTGTCGAAAACCTAACCCTAAAGATGGTGGTATTGGGAGGTGGGGACTTTGGGAGTGATTAGGTGATGAAGGCAAAGCCCTCATTAATGGGATTAGTGACTTTATAAAAGAGGCCCAGAGGGTTGCCTTGCTTTTTCTACCATGTGAGCATGCGAGAAAAGGCGCGATCTATAAGGAATGGGTAGTCACCAAACATGGATTCTTCCTGCACTTTTGATCTTGTCCTTTTTGTCTCCAGAACCTGAATGGACTAAATTATACAGTAAAGTGGCACAATTTCTTGGCAGATTTCTCAGAGAAACATTACATATTTTACATATTATTTGTTGCAATAATGCAAATTTTATCTTGCTAGAAAAGGAGAAAATAACTTGGTGACTTTCTTCATGGAAAGTTTGTAATACATTGTTTATTTATTTCCCATGAGGAAGAAAATATCATTGATTATATAATAAATATTAGAAAAATTTTAGACCTTAAAATTTTGCCTAAGACTTTGTGGAGCAAGTACATACAATAGAAAGATGGAACACAAAAGTGTTCAATCTAATATTTTAAGTATTGCATACAAGAGTCTCGTATCGTTACAAAGTAGCCTATATCATTTCATGTATAATTAACAGATCATTGTTGGCAAATGAGAGTATAGAGTCGCTAATTTTTGGTTAAAATCAGCTACTAACTAAAGATCTAGCAACCAGGTAAAATAAAAGCATGTCATATCAGATTAAATTCTAACTTAAATCTAAACTTAGGTAATAAAACAAGCATAAAAAGTTATTCAAATTATTTCATCATCTGAATAAAGTTTTAGCTGCCTATAGTTTAACTGCTCAAATCACATTTTTCAATAAAAATTTATTTCAGGTAAACGTTTCCATATTGTGGAGGCAGGTTCAGTTAACCTTATTGGCTTCATTCAACCATAACCATGATCCTTCAATTGCAGATAACCTAAGACCTTTAAAAAACAAGGTCCATGTGTTATCCCTAAGAATACAAGCTACATGATGTTCAAGAGTTTTAAATGCCATTCTTGCAAGGAGAAAGATTGACTCAATGATATGTTAGAAAATCCACATCATTTGTATGTTAGAAACACACACACACACACTTCTAATATCTATTGTTCTAATAAAAAAGTTGCTAAACTTGAACAGATATAAAGATAAATGAAGCACTTCTGGAAGTCACTTACAGAGTGAGACTTTCTAATTATAATGCTAATGAACCACATCTTAGATGTAAATTTCTGATTAGGGAAACTGAAGAATCCTAAGTGAAATTTAAACTAATGAATGAATACACAATACCATACTGCCTATGTTGAAATATTTTAAAGTACATTGCACATCTCAAAGCATCTACCATTTGAATTTTTGAGGACACATAGACTTCTTGGAAAAATAATTTGTGTTGCATAACCTATAAAATAAATATGCTAAAAAAGGACAATCATTTAAAAGGACTGCATTTCGAATATATCATGACTGAAATGTGTAGACTTCTACAACTGATTCCTAATGTTCCATAGAGATAGAGCTACCTAAGCCATGGTTTAGGCAGTATGTTAATTATTTATAAATTTATTTATAAATGAGTGATGCCTCCACTCATTTTTTACATTGTACCACATGGTTTGAAATGTATTAAAGGCAATGGCTCATCAATAGAGGAAATATGGTGAGAATAACTAAATTTCTCTTATTAATAAGGTGACACCAGAAGGAAGCAGCTAGTAATTTGCTAACTATCCAGTTCTTGAGATGAAGAGATGACCAAAAGCCATGATTAGACTTAGGCTCACCTGAATTAGGTGATTGGAATCTACCTATATCAAATGCTCTATTACTTAGTATAAAGAACATGAGCATGCACCACAATCTAGGAGCCTTTGCAAAAATCTTATTTGTATCTAAAATTCAATGTTAGTTTTTTTAAACCCTCCAAAATCCAAGTAAACAGGGAAATAGAGCAATAAAATGCTTCTTAGTATAATTCACTTAATTTGGCACAAGTTTGCTTAAAGAAAGAAAGAGACTAAGTTGTAGAAAATGCCATTGATTTAGCTTCTTATCCACTTGCATTTACTTATTAAGGCGTAAATTAAATTATTTATGGGATATTTAAACATTAATGAGGACATTTCATTTCTTATTTTCGCTTATTGCAAGAAAAGAAAGTGATGATATTGAATACATATAACAGCCTGTCAATGAATTCTCTAGGTGACAAGCTAAATGTCAACTAAGTGCACTCAATAAACATAAACATACATATATTTTATATTGTTTAATAGTAGTTTACTATAGCTTAAGTAGTGAATAAACTATCATGTGCAATTGGGACATTATTTTATTAAAAGGTGCTTTAATCATTTTTTTCCAAAATACATAAATTGGCTTTATTAAATCAGTAGAATGATTACAAAGTCTCATTTATTTATGTATTACCTTGAAAGGGCATAGAGCTATGGGAGACCTTCAGGTGTCTCTATTAGTACATATTATCTGTGATTTTTTACCCAGAGTGAGATCTGAGATTCTAAGAGTTTCCAATTTTTGCTAACTGTCCATTTTCAGTGGTTCAGTATCTGCCTCAGCTAATCTAAGGACCATTAACTGAAAATCAGTTCCTTAAATAACAAGTAGGGGATAGTTCATAAATACCTCAGAAGGCAACAGAATTACAAACTACAATATACTGCTTGGAATAACAAACATCCACCAACTTCAAACCTCCCTCTTAGTTTGAGAACATACAACGGTAAGAAAGGTCTCAATTTTTTGTAGTAGACAATAAACCATTTACTTAGAAGTGGCTAGGTACAAAAGTGTCATTTTGTTCTGTGTATCATAAAACATGAATAAAAATTTCAGATGTAGTTCAGCTTTCTTATTAAGATGAATCCATTTCCAGTATTATGTATTATTATTAATTACAGGAAATTCAAATTAGTAATGGTAAATTTATGCTGGGTATCGTGTGAAGGCTGAGGTAAAACAAAAAACTTAGTCAAACTTTTAAAAAAATTATTATAAAAAATGAGATTAAAAAATTGGAGTGGTATGGAAAGCATGTAATTTTGTTCTGGTAATCTGGTATTCTTCATACATTCATAAAATACCTGCTGCTTTCAGACTGAAAATGTACACTGTACAGTCATTCCTCAATATCTGTGGGAAATTGATTTCAGGACCCTCCCTAGCCCTCCTACTCACCAGTGCATATCCAAATATATGGATGCTCAAGTCCTTGATATAAAATGATGTATTCTTTGCATATAAACAAAGCAAATTCTCTCCTGTTCTTTAAATCATATCTAGATGACATAATACCTAATACAATGTAAATGTTATATAGTTGTCATATCATTTTTTAAAATTTGTATTAATTTTATTTTTTCAAATGTTTTAGATTTGAAACATTTCTGTTTCAAATGATGAATAAACCACAGATAAGGAGAGATGACTATAGTTTCATAATTTTGAAGGACTTCTCATTTATATTTATTACTTTCCTTTTCTATTTTTTTCCATCTTAAAATTAGCCCTTGGAACTTTTGAACATGAGCAGTGAAAGAGAGCACAGGGAAATCAGTCCACAGATGAATTTTTCTTTCATTTTTATTTTACCAAAGAAAACTCCATCTAGTCTGTGAGTATATGGAAACTTAATTAAGCTTCAGCCTCCATCTCTCTGATGTTCATAACTAATGTCAAAAAAAGACTTAAATTATCTGCTTGGGAGCTTTGAGGGTCAGCTGCTACTTTCCTTAGTTTCAAATTGCAGATAAATAAATGTCACAAAAGAAAAAAAAATCGTACAATAGTTGAGTCTCACTCATATAAAAATAATCTAAAGCTTATATAATTACTTTCTAAAATGGCAAAATTACTTTCAGCAAAATGGCAAAATAGGAAGTTCCAGACCCTTCTTCCCCACAAAAACAAAAAACAAAACAAAACAAAACAAACACTTCAATTCAACAATACATGAAAAAAAGACCCTGTGTGAAAAATCCAGAAAACTGTTAAGAAGTTCCTGAACCAGAGTTCGAGACCAGCCTGGCGAACAGGTGAAACACCATCTCTTCTAAAAATACAAAAATTAGCCAGGCGTGGTGGTGGGTGCCTGTAATCCCAGCTACTCAGGAGGCTGAGTCAGGAAGAATGGCCTGAACCTGAGAGGTGGAGGTTGCAGTGACCTGAGATTGTGCCATTGCACTCCAGCCTGGATGACAGAGTGAGACTCTGTCTCAAAAAAAAATAGAAAAGAAAAAAAGAAAAAAAAAATAAGTTCCTGAACCATAAAGCAAGCTGCACAAAAGCTGATAGAAAAATTCATGAATTTCACCATAGTCACAGTCACTCTCCCTGGTTCAGCCAGGTGTGATTGGTGAAAACACTCCCAACTCCGAGCTTCTCCCTAAGGAAGGATAGAAAAGCCTGAAATGTATATCTAAGATGCAAAGTTTTTGAGAGTCTGCCAGAGAAATTGGTTCCCATCTTGCCTGAATCAAGGACCAATAGAAAAGTGCATCAGATTAGGGGCCAATGAAAACACATGTGAAAATTTGGACTAGCATGTACCAACTCACCTAATGCACTACCCTTTGTTCAGGGTGGAATGAGTAGGAGAAAACCCCTATCTCCCAGATTCTCCTTGGAAAGGAAAAGAGCTAAACTCTCCATCAAATGTTTCAGTTTTGGGGGGATGACCAGAAAACTTGTTTCTGTTTCACCTGTCTTAAAGCACTAAGTGGATCTGGCATATTATATATATCTGAGGGCCTCTGAGAACAAAAGAGAGCTGAGCACCTTACTGCTGTTCTAGAGGACCTGACATATAGCACACAGAGACCAATACAGTTTCGCAATCTCTCATTTATCAGGAAAAGAAAAGGGTAGAGTGTCACACGCGTCCGTGTAAAGAGACCACCAAACAGGCTTTGTGTGAACAATAAAGTTTTTAATCACCTGGGTGCAGGTGGGCTGAGTCCAAAAAGAGAGTCATCAAACGGTGGTGGGATTATCATTAGTTCTTATAGGTTTGAGATAGGCGGTGGAGTTAGGAGCAATTTTTTATGGACAGGGGGTGATCTTACAAAGTACATTCTCAAGGGTGGGGAGAATATTACAAAGTACCTTCTTAAGGGCAGGGGAATATCACAAAGTACATTATCACAAGGGCGGGGAGGGTATACTGTCAAAAGGTCAATTGGTCAGTTAGGGTGGGGCAAGAACAAATCACAATGGTGGAAGGTCATCAGTTAAGGCAGGACCTGGCTATTTTCACTTCTTCTGTGGATCTTCAGTTGCTTCAGGCCATCTAGATGTATACACACAGGTCACAGGGGATATGATGGCTTAGCTTGGGCTCAGAGGCCTGACACAGAGTATGCATGCAACCATGTTGCTTTTCAGGGAGCTTCCCAAGGAAATGGTTTCTGTCACACGTAAGTCAGAGCATTAATGAGATCCATAATACTCTAGAAGCCTGGGAGGTTCTGAAACCAAAAGAGGGCTGGATAGATTGCAGCAGCTCTGGAGAACCGTGACCACAGACACCAGAGGGAAAAAACAATTATGATCTTCTGCAAAAAGAAAAGAACAAACCCAAGTCCAGAGAAGATGCATTCACAAAAAGGGTTTGAGAGGCCCCCAGAAGTGCTACTTTTTCTGATTGATAAAGGTCTATACCCATAAAAAGTCAGGTTATAAAGACTGGCAGAGGTGGCTGTTCTTTCAAATGTGCAGATCTCAACACTAACTTATAAAACACATGAAAAATCAGAGAAACATGGCTCAATTAAAGGAACATAATTGAATTATGTAAATTACATGACAAAAATTCAAAATTACCATAATGATGCTCAATGAATTCAATAAAATATATAAACCAAATGTCATATCAACATAGAGATAGAAAATATATAAAAAGAACCAAAGGGATATTTTGGTGCATAAATATGTAAGAACTAACTAAAATGTTTTCTAGAGACATTCAACAGCAGACTAGAGCAAGCAGAACAAAGGATTAGCAAACTTAAGAACAAGTCATTTGAAATTATTCAGATAAAAATATTTTAATTTAAAAAAGTAAAGAAACCCTAAAAGACTCATGAAGTTTCCAGAAGAAGAAGAGAAAAAGAAAGAGAGATGCAGATTATTTAAAGAAATAATGACAAAGTGAACTCAAATCTAGGAAGGAAATTTAATCTTCAGATTCAGAAAGCCCAAAGGACTTCAACTGGAATAAATCCAAAGAATTCTACACCAAGACACATTACAGTCAAATTGATAAAAGTTAAACACAAAGAGAAAATTTTGAAGGGTGCAAGAGAAAAGCAATCTGTCACATAAAAGGGAGCATCCATAAGACTATCAGCAAATTTCTCAGCAGAAAACTTGCAGGCCAAAAGGGAATGGGTTGATATATAAAGTATTGAAGAAAAAGAAAAAAGAAAAAAACTAAATACACTCCAAGAATACTGTATCTGGCAAACCTACTCTCCTAACTGAAGAAAAAATAATGTCTCTTCCAGATAAAGAAATGCTGATGGAGTTCATCACTACTGGAGTAAAATGCTAAAGGCAGTTTCTAAAGTTGAAATGAAATAATACTAGATGACAATACAAAAGTATATAACAGTATAATGCTTCATCGTAGGTGTATTAGGCCATGACCAAAATGCTGATAGTGATATGGATAGTGAAGATCAGGCTGACACTGCCTTGAATGGAAATGAGGAACTTATTTGGAACTGGAGCAAAGGTCATGTATGTTATGCCTTAGTAAAGAACTTGGCTATATTTTATCCTTGCCCCAGGGATCCCTGGAAGTTTAAACTTGAGAGTAATGACTTCGAATATCTGATGGAAGAAATTTCTATGCAGCAAAGCATTCAAGATGTGGCCTGTCTGCTTCTAATACTCTACACTCAGATGTGGAAGCAAAGAAATGACTTAAAGTTGGAATTTCTATTTAAATAGAAAGCACAGGGGAGACATTTGGAAAATTTGCATCCTGGCCATGTGACAGAGAAATATAAAGCTTTTGGGAGAGAGGAGTTCAAGTAGGCTGTGGAGAAACCATTTGCTAGAGATTTCTGTATAGCTAAAAGAGAGTCAAGAGCTAATATTCAAGACAATGGGGAAAATATCTCAAAGGCATTTCATAGACCTTTATGTCATCCCCTCCCATTTCAGGACCAAAAGCCTAGAAGAAAAAAAAAATGTTTTGTGGGCCAGGCCCAGTGACCAGCTGCCCTGAGCAGCCTCATGATTCTTCTCCTCACTTTCCATCCACTCCAATGCCAGCCGTGGTACAAAGGGTCCCAGGTACAGCTCGAGCAGCTGCTCCAGCTCAAGAAGGTATAAGCAAGCCAAAAGCCTTGGCATCTTCCAAGTGGTGTTAAGCCTGTGGGTATGCAGAGTGTAAGAGTAAAAAAAGCATGGAAGCCTCCACCTAGATTTCACAGGATATATAAAAAAGCCCAGATGCCCAGGCAGAAGCATGCTGCAGAGACAGACCCCTCACATGGAATCTCTACTAGGGCAGTCCCAGGGGGAAATGTGGGATTGGAGACCCCACACAGAGTCCTCACTGTGGCACAGCTTAGTGTAGCTATGAGTATGGGGCCACCATCCTCCAGACCCCATAATGGTAGATCCACTGGTAGCTTGCATCCTATACCTGGAAAAGCTGTAGGCACTCAAATTGTGAGAGTAGTCATGGGGGCTGAACCCTGAAAAGCCACAAAGGCAGTGCTGCCCAAGGCCATGGGAGCCCACCCCTTGCATCAGTGTGCCCTGAATGTGGAAAGTGGAGTCGAAAGAGATTATTTTGGAGCTTTGAAATTTAACAGCTACAATACTGGGTTTCAAACTTGCACAGGCCCTAAAGCCCCTTTCTTTTGGCTAATAAAATGAGAAAGATTACCCAGTGCCTATACCCTCATTGAATCTTAGAAGTGAATAACTTGTTTGGATTTGACAGGCTCATCAATGGAAAGGACTTTCATTTTCTTACATGAGACTTGGGACTTTTGAGCTAATGCTGGAATGATATATGACTTTGGGGGTCTGTTGAGAGGGATGATTGTATTTTGCAATGTAAAAAGGACATGAGATTTGGGGGGTCCAGGGGTAGAATGACACAGTTTGGATGTTTGGCCCCTACCATGTTGAGATGCAATTCCCAAAGTGGGAGGTTGGCTCAGGCCTGCTGGGAGGTGTCTTAATCATGGGGACAGATCCCTCATTAATGGCTTGGGCCATCCCTGTGGTGTTAAGTGAGCACTTGCTCTGAGTTCACACGTTGGGTTATTTAAAATAGTGTGGCACCTCCCTCACTCTCTTTTTTACACCTGCTTTTGCCATGTGACTCTTCAACTTCTGCCATAACTGTAAGATTCCTGAGGCCTCTCCAGAAGCTGAGCAGATATTGACACCATGTGTTCTGTAAAGCTTAAAGAACTATGAGCCAATTAAACCTCTTTTATTTATAAATTATCTATTCTCAGGTATTTCTATATAGTTAAAAAAAGGCCTAACACAAAAATTGGTACCAGAGAGTAGAGCATTTCTATAAAGATGCCTGAAAATGTGAAATCAACTTTGGAACTGGTAACAGGTAGATGTTGGAAGAGTTTGAAGGGTTCAGAAGAAGGCAGGAAAATCAGGGAAAGTTGGAAACTTCTTAGAGACTGGTTAATTGTGACCAAAATGCTGATAGTGATACTGAAAGTGAAAATCCAAGCTTACACAGTCTCAGATGGAAATGAGGTACTTATTTTGTACTAGAGCAAAACTGCCTTGTGTTATGCCTTTGCAAAGAATTTGGCTACATTGTATCCATGCCCTCAGGATCTGTGGAAGTTTGGATTTGAGGATGACGATTTAGAGTATCTGGTGGAAGAAATTTCTAACCAGCAATGCATTGAAGATGTGTCCCAGCTGCTTCTAACAGCCTATGCTCTTATCTAGGATCAAAGGAATGACTTAAATTTGGAACTTATATTTAAAAGAGAAGCAGAGTACAAAAGTTTGGAAAATTTGCATCCTGGCCATATATAAAAAGCTCTTTTGGTAGAGGAATCCAAACAGGCTGTGGAGCAATCACTTCTAGAGATATTTACATAACTAAAAAAGAGCCAAATGCTAATATCCAAGACAATGGGAAAAGGCTTTGAAAGCCTGTCAGAGACCTTTTTGGCAGCCCCACCCCTCACAGACCAAGAGTCCTAGCAGGTAAAAATGGTTTCATGGGCTAGGCCCAAGGTCCTGCTACCCTGCACAGCCTCGGGATAATGCTTGCTACATCCAATCTGCTCCAGCTACAGCTTCAGCTCAGAGGGCCCCCAGGTAAAACTTGGGCCACTCCTTCAGCCTTGGTGGTTCCATGTGATGTTAATTCTGCAGGCACAGAGAGTGCAAGAGTGAATGAGGCTTGGCAACCTCTACCTCTATCTAGATTTCATAGTGAATATATGGAAAACCCTGGCTGTCCAGACAGAAACCTGCTGCATTGGAACAGCCTCAGAGAATTCCTACAAGGCCAGTGCCAAGGGAAAATATGGGGTTGGAGTCCCCACACAGAGTCCTCACTGGGACACTGCTTAGTATAGCTGTGAAAAGGGGTTTTCCATGCTCCAGACCCCAAAATGGTAGATCTACCTGCAGCTTGTACCTTGAACCTGGAATAGCCACTGGCACTTTACAACTTCCGAGAGCAGACTCAGAGGCTGAACCCTGCAAAGCCTCAGTGATGGAGCTCCTAAGGCCTTTGCAGCCCACCCCTTGCATCGGTGTGCCCTGGATGTGGGAAATTAAGTAAAAGGAGATTATTTTGGCACTTTAAGATTTAATAACTGCCCTGCTGGATTTCACACTTGCATGGGGACTGTAACCTCTATTTTTGTCCAATTTCTCTCTTTTAGTATAATAATGTTTACCCAATGCCTAAACTCCCATTGTATACAGAAAGTAAATAACTTGTTTTTGATTTTACAGGATCATAGGTGGAAGAACTTTCCTTGTCTCAGATGAGACTTTGGACTTTTGTGTTAATGCTGGAATGAGTTAAGACTTTGGAAGGCTATTGAGAAGGGATGATTTTATTTTGAAATGTGAGAAAGACATACTATTTGAGAGGTGAGGAGCAGATGATATAGTTTGTATGTCTCCTTCCAAACCTTATTTTGAAATGCAATTTCCATTGTTGGATATAGGTCCTGGTGAGAGGTGTTTAGATGATGAGGATGGATCCCTCACAAATGGCTTGAGCCATCTCATTCACGATAAATGTGTTCTTACTTTGAGTTCACACAAGATTTGGTTATTTAAAACTATATGGCACCTCTTCTCCCATTTTCTTTTTCTCTCTTGTTCCTGCTCTGGCCATGTGATATGCCTGCTCCTGCTTTGCCTTCTGCCATGAGAAAAGCTTCCTGAGACCTTCACAGAAGTGGATACCAGCATTATGCTTCCTATGTTACCAGTAGAATTGTTAGCCAATTACAGTTTTCTCATAAATTACCTAGTCTCAGGTATTTCTTTATAGCAATGCAAGAATGGCCTAATAATTAGTCCTTAAGAAGTTCCAAACTTTCCTTGATCTTTGTGTCCTCTTCTGAGCCCTCCAAACTCTTCAGACCTATGCCTTTCACCCAATTCCAAAGCAATTTCTACATTTTCAAGTATCTTTCCAGCAGTGCCTCTCTCCTTGGTATAAATTTTCTGTGTTAGATCATTCTTTCATTACTATAAGAAATACGTAAGACTGGGTAATTTATAATGAACAGAGCTTTAATTGGCTCACAGTCTGCAAGCTTTGTAGGAAGCATGTTACCAACATCTGCTCAGCTTCTGGGAGGCTTCAGGAAGCTTACAATCATAAAAGAAGTTGAAGAGAGAGAAGGTGGCACATGGCAAAAGCAGGAGTAATAGAGAGTGTGTGTGTGTGGGTGGAAGGCGGAGGTGCTACACACTTTTAAAACACCCGATGTTGTGTGAACTCAGAGAAAGTGCTCACTTATCACCAAGGGGATGGCCCAAGCCATTCAGGAGAGATCTGCCCCCATGATCAAAACACCTCCCACCAGGACTGAGATCACCTCCAACATTGGGAATTATATTTCAAAATGAGATTTGAGTGGGGACAAATAATCCAAACTATGTCAATAAAGATAGATATACATGAGCACACACACATACACAAACACACACACACACATAAAAATAGAATACTGCAATACTGTAACAAGTGTGTATAAATCACTTAATTCTGGTATGAAAGTTAATAAATAAAAGTATACAAATAACTATAACTATATAAATATTTTAATGGATGCACAATATAAAAATGAAATTTATGATATTAATAAACTGGCGGGAGTAAAAAAAGTAGTTTTTGTATGTGATTCATGCTACATTGTTATCAGTTAGCTGGTTATAACTAAAAACTGTTTTATGAAAACTTCATAGTAATCAAAAGGAAAATACTTATATCAGATACACAAAAATAAAGAGAAAGGAATCAGAGCATATCACTATAAAAATCAACTAAACCTAATGTGAGACAGCAAAAGAGGAAGACTGGAACAAGAAAACCTATAAGACACAGAGAGTACAATGAAGAAAATTGCAATATTAAGTCTTTCCCTATCCATAATTACTTTAAATGTAAATAAACAACCTAATCAAAGAACGTTAAGTGGTTGAATGGATAAAAAACAAGATCCAGCCACATACCCTCTATAAAAGATTCACTTTTCATTTGAGGACATGCATAGGTTGAAAATGAAAGAATGTAAAAAAATATTCCGTGCAATTAGTAACCAAAAGAGGGTAGAAATGTCTATACTTACATCAGACAAAATAGACTCTAAGTCAACAACTGTCACAAGAGACATAAAGAAACATTATATGATAATAAGATGATCAATATACCAGGAATGTATAAAATTATGAATATATTTGCACCCAACATCAGAGCACACACACATATAAAGCAAGTATTGGCAGAATTGAAGGAAGAAATAGACAACACAAATTAGAAGATTTTAATACCCTACTTTCAATAATGGATAAAATATCAAGACCAAAACCCAAAAAAGGAAACAGAAAACTTGAATGACATAATAAATTAAATGGAACTAAAAAGCATATATGGAAAATTCCATTAAACAACTGAAGAATGCACATTCTTCTCAAGCATGCATAGAACATTCCCAAGCATAGATCACATATTAGGTCAAAAAACAAGTGTTAACCCATTTAGGAAGATTGAGGTTATACTGAGTATCTTTTTTGACCACAATAAAATAAAAAAAGAAATCAATAAAGGAAGGAAAACTAAAAAAATCAGAAATATGTGAAAATTAACACAGTACTGAACAAGCAATACTTCAAAGAAAAAATTTAAAAAAATTAGACAACATCTTGATACAAACGAAAAGAAAAAATATAGCATAAAAATTGATAAAATACAGCAAATGCAGTACTAAGAGGAAAGTTTACACTGGTAAAACTCTACATGAAAAAGAAAGCATATTATTTAAACCACCTAATTTTATACCTCAAGCAACTCTAAAAAAGGAACAAGCAAAATCCAAAGTTACGAGTAGGAAGGAAAAAAAAAAGCTATTGTCAAGTTTCTTGATGTTTTCAGAAAACAAAGTTTTATTTCTCTTTATTTTTAAATCGTTACTCTATTATATATTTCGTTTATTTCTAATCTTTTTTTTTTTTGTAAGGAGATTGAATTGGTAATTAAAAATCTCCTGACAAAGAAAAGCTTAGGACCATGTCTTCACTGGATATGTCAAGCAAACATTTACAGAAGAATTAATACTAATCCTTCTCAACTTCTTCCAAAACAACTGAAGAGGAAAGAATACTTACTCATTTTATGAGGCCACCATTATCCTGATACCAAAGCCTGGCAAAGACATTATAAGAAAATAAAATTGCAGGCTAATACCCCTTATAAATATAGATGCAAAAATGTTCAACAAAATATTAGAAACCCATAGTCAATAGCACATTAAAATAGCCATATACCATGATCAAGTGGGACTTATTCTTGGGATGCAAGAATGGTTCAACATACAAAAATAAATGTGATACACCAAGGTTAAAAATTACATGATCATCTCAGTAGACATAGAATGAAGCATTGAAAAAAACATTCAACATCCTTTTATGATAAAAGAAGTCAAACTAAGAATAAAAGGATATAACCTCAACATAAAAAGGCCATATATCAGAAAGCAACACCTTACACACAAACACACACACACACACACACACAGTTAAGATAATAAATGAATTCAGCAATTGCAGCATACAAAATGTATATGCAAAAGCCAGTGTTTATGTAAAATAACAACAAACAATCCACAAAGAAAATCTTTTTAAAAGTCTAATTTTTAATAATAACAAAGGAATATAATACTTAGGAACAAACTTAAATGAGAAAGTAAAATACATACCGAAAACACTGATGAAAGGAATTAAAGATGCAAGTAAATGGAAATGTAACCTGTGTTTGTGGATTGGAAGACCTAATGTTGTTGAAATATCCATACTAACCAAAATAACTAATTATAGATCCTATGCAATACCTATCAAAACGTGGTATATAACATATAATGGAATTTTATTCAGTCTTAAAAAATAAAATCCTGGTCAGGTGTGGTGGCTCACACCTTTAATCCCTGCACTTTAGGAGGCCATGGAGGGCGCATCAGTCTGAGGTCAGGAATTCGCGACCATCCTGGGCAACATGGGTAAACCTCTTCTCTATTAAAAGTACAAAAATTAGCCAGGCGTTGTGGAGCGTGCCTGTAATCCCAGCTTCTCGGGAGGCTGAGGCAGGAGAATCGCTTGAATCCAGGAGGTGGAGTTTGCAGTGAGCTGAGATCACACCACTGCACTCCATCCTGGGTGACAGAGCGAGACTCAGTCTAAATAAACAAAAATCCTGCCATATACTACACAGATGAAACTGACATCATTATACTAGGTGAAATAAACCAGACAGAAGGACAGATAGTGCATGGTTCTGTTAAATGAGATATCCAAAATAGTAAACTCATATAAAGTAGAATGATGGTTTCCATTGTCTGCCAAGAAGGAAAATGAGGTGTTATTCTTCAATGGATACAGAGTTTTTGTCACGCAAGATGAAAATGTCTAAAGATCTGCAGTAAAAAAGTATACATATGGTTGACAATACCATAAAGTATACTTAAAAACTTACTGAGAGGTTAGATTTTATAAGTAATTTACCACAAAAAAATGGAAGCTTACTTTCTGGATCACTAAGAATGGAGTATTATGGAACTAAAATACAGATGTATATTAGGAAGTACAGAGATAGCAGTGTCTAAGTGTCCAAAGATACTATTAGCTTTAATAAGTTTCACGAATTTGTCCAATTACAGAGTCCACTAACACAGAGTGGCCCTAGAAAGAGACTGATGGATGAATAATATTTCTCACTGAAAATTAAAAACTGCTACTATTTAGGGAAACCAGAGATGGTAATAATGGCACATCAAGAGCATTACATTTATGTATAGATTTTATATTGCATCTGTTGCCGTTGTTATTATATATTTTAATGTTATTTCTATTTTTAAGCTCTTCAAGCTGACACTTTCACCTACCTCGTGTATCAACAGAAATTGTTTAATTTCCTCACATCTACACTCCTATATGGCTCGTTACATGGATATATACGCTATTTTTATATTTCTCAATGCTGACAAATAAAGATTAAAATGTTTACATCTAATGATCCTTTAGGTAATTTTTAAATAAAGAATACCTAATTATATCTTAACTTTTCAATCAACTGCAAGGTCTTCCAAATTTTTTAATGTAATACCTTATTTGAAAATAAAATTAATTTAAATATTTTGACCTAAATAACTTTTAAAATGTGTAAATTTGTATAAGTAAGCCTATTAAAATTTTCCCACTTTAAGTAAATGATTCTTCAGTCAGACTTGGATATTTACAACAATCCTTAATAATTAATGTAGCCAATTTTTATATTGGACTTTATTAATATCCTCAGTAGTTCATTAGCAAATGTGGAAGAAAAATACTGGGTTTAGGTAAAGGCAGATATCTAACAAACACAGCCAAATATGTAACAAAGATTTTCATAAAGAATGAGCAACTACTTCTTTGAAATACACATTTTATTTTTCCATTAGCTCTTGTACTAGGGAAGCATGGTATACTGAACTGCATGTATCTATTGCAAAAAGACACAATCTGATATTTTGTAGGCTTAATTTCTTAGTGACCATTATTTAAAAACCTCAAGGAAAGAAACCATCTGTAAATGTTATCAGTGTGGATTTGATAAAAGGTACCTAAACAATACAAAATTAAAGTGATGTATGTCCACATCAGATGACTCAAATTGTTAGTAAAATATTCAAGATTTTTAATGCAATCTACAAACAAATTTGAACGCTTTCTCTACAAAAAATGTCTCTCTCTCCTTCTACCATCTCTCTGTCACTATACCACAATATTAAACTCATAGGTGAGGCAAAATAATTAAATCTGTTACTTCAGTAATCTTGGATGGTTTATGCTTATGTAACTTCTGATGGATTATCATTGACCATAACCCCTTTGATTTTAATGAATATATCATATACCTTTGCTTAAAAATAACTGTAGAATCTTTCCAGTAAGCCTACTTTCAGTGAAAGTAAGACTCACTAAAGTTATAATAAGAAATATGAAATTATTAGATCAATCTATCTGGTCTAATATCAGGGAAGCATATATTTAAGATAAATTGGCCAATCATTTCTTCTATAAGGCTTTATCATTTCTTTCAGTTAATTTTTGGGAAAAAAAAATCTATGCGGTCTTCCATATTGCAAAGTAAAACCACAAACTCATCAAAATAGGGATAGGCAAATTATTTGACAAAATTAGTATCTAACCATAATTAATGTATTAAAACACTGTGTCCAAGGAGAGTTGTGTGTCTTATAGTATTGATTTTAGATTTTAAGGATGTATACTTCGAGTTAATGACAGATTTTTATCTTTTAAAATATTTTTTCTCATAATTTTTTTTCATGTTTCAATGCTAGACATATACAGTCTCATAAAATACAGAAGTATTTTCTCTTTTCTTCTATTTTCTAAAACAAAGTCTAAGATTGTGATTATTCCTTCCTAACAATTTCTCAAATTTATCAGTAAAAATATGAAGCATTTATATACTTTGCGAAAACTACAAATTCAGTGTAATTGATACACACAGATGTATTCAGGTTTTTAATTTCTTTTAGTATCAGTTTTTATGTTTTGTTTTTTAAGAAATTCATCCATTTTAAATTGTCAAATTTATCAGCATAAAGTTGTTTATAATATTATCAAGTTATCCTTTTAATTTCTATAGAATCCCTCTTTTATTCCTGAGTTTCATAATTTGTATTATCTCTTTAGTGTCTTGATTCACACTTACTAGATGATTATAGATTTTATTGATGTTTTAAGGAATGAAATTTTACTCGTTATTTTTTCTATTGTTAGTCTCTTTGTATTGCATTGAGTTGTGATCTTACATAAATTATTTCCTTCCTATTTTTAGTTTGGATTTAATTTGCTCTTTTTTTTGAAGATTAAAATGTGTATCATTCATTTCAGATCTTTATTCTTTTTCAAGTTATAGATTGAAATAAGTAAGTTTCACCCAGTACATTGACTCACTTTACAACTTTTGACATTTTGTAAAATCATTATTATACAGTTCAATAGACCTTATAATTTCCTTGTGATTTCTTTTTTAACTCTTCACTTATTTAGAAACATTCTGATTAATTTTAAACATTTGGCATTTTTGGATATTTTATCCTTCATAATTTCAATTCTACTGTGGTCAGAGAATATGCTTGATGTAATATCAATATTTTAGAATGAACTGAGACTTCTCTTATAGTCATGAATGTGATATATTTTCATCATCATTTCTTGTGTACATCAACTAGTATGTGCTCAAGATTTGTAAAACATAGTTTGTTTTCTCTTATATCTAATGCCTTCTTATTTCCTATTGTTGCTTATAAAATCTTCTCATATCTAATGCCTTATTTCCTATTGTTGCTTATAAAATCTTCTCTATATATGTGACTTTCAGCTGTATGAATACGATGTGACTAGGTGTGGGTCTTTTGTATTTATTCTGCTTATATTTTGTTGACTTCTTGGATTTGTATGTTAATTTTTTCTGTAAGATCTATAATAATGAATCTAAAATGCAGCAATCATTATTTCTTCAAATATTTTTTCTCATAACATCTCTAATTTCTTTTACTTTGGGACTCCAGTTACTGGTATGTTGGGCTACTTTTTATTGTCTCATAAGACATTAAGGTTCTTTTCACTTTTTTTATAATATTTTCCCACCTATTCTTCAACATGATTAACTTAACTTGTGCTACTAATCTTTACCTTTCTTCTGGCATCTCTAATCTTCTAATATTTCCATCAAGTAATATTTTTCTTTATGATGCTGTACATTTTAACCTCTGTAATATCCCGGATTTTTGTTTTTCTTTGTTTTGTTTACGTATGTTCTTTTTTTTTCTTACCCTTTTTTTTTTTTTTTTTTTGGTCCACATGCATATTTTCAATAGCTAGTTTAAAATCCTTGTCTGCTCATTTCAAATTCTGTGTCATCTGGGTTTCAGCTAAAAACTGTTCCCTTTTGGCTATGGATTACATGCCCTATTTCCTTACATGTTAGCAATTCATTGTATACTAGATACGGCGACTGGTATGTTGCAGAAAATCTAAATTCTGATATTGGCCCCTAAACAATGTTAGTCTTCATCTACCAGGCAGACAGATTACTGGGTGGTTATTTTGAATTTGCAAAGCTTTGACTATATGTGTATTAATGACAAAGGTATTAATTTTTGAAGCACCCTACCCACGCCTAAGTTTGGTGGAACTCCATTTCAAAAATACATCTCTTCTATTTTGGGAAACTGTTTAAATCTTTATTCAGCTCTTTCCAACTCTTCAAGACTGCACTTTTCTGGGGACTTTAGAATCTACCTGCTGAAATGTAGTTCAATATTCAGATCAGGAAGAGAGATGAGTGTATATGCAGAATTTGGGGCTTCCCTTTGGGATTTCTCCATCAAAGAATCTTCTTTCTCAATTAGTAGCTCTTCTGACAACATGATGTCTTCCTCTAATACAACTTGAGACATTTTATTTTTAAGTTTTAGCCATTTCTCACTGCATAGACTTCAGTGTTGCCTTTGAGGAAAAGTCAGATAAACATGGATATTATTTATTTCTAAGGTTTAATCTCATACAGTTTATGCCTGTTTTGGTCACCTTCCAGATTCTTCATTTTTAGTCTTTTAAAAATTTTGCCTAGAGTTTAAAGTTTTAATCTTCAGGAGTATGAATGTGATAGATGCTACTGTGTCATTACTGGATTCAGAACAATCACACAGACTATTTTTAAAAATATGCTTCATTACAAACTATAAAAAATATAGTTTATTAAATATATAATTGATTATTTAATAAATAATTTTAAATGCCAGATAAATTCTTTATTTTAGAAGAAATTTTATTATTTAGATAATAATCACAAACCCAAAGAATACTTCATAAAAGATAAAACTTTTCCAAAGGCATCATATTTATTTAACAAACTTACCAGGTCTTTAAAAAATATATATCCTTTTAGTAAGCAGACTACTTCTAACTGATAAAAGAATATTGATCACAGTTTTGCACAAACTATTCACTTTGGGTGAAAATAAATTGTAGAAAGTTTCATTTCAAAACACTATGCTGGACTAGAATTTTACATGAATTTGGCACCTTTAGCAACTGCTTAATTCTGAAAAAGCAATGTTTTAGAAACGAATTGTACCATTTCGTCTGTATTTTTAAAAATTCTCAAATTATGAAAAGCAAGTATATTCTCAAATTCTAAATCTTTAGTAGAAACATTCATGTAGTATTTGATGATTTATTTATTTTGTTTAATTCATAATTCTTAGGTCATTTTCAGGTACTAAAATAGACCTTCTGGAACAAATATGTAGAAAGGCCAAGAACTCTGAAGGAATATGTGTTTCAGGAACTCCTAATTTTAACATGTGTTATATTTGTATCAAGTTTCATGAGAACAATATCAGATAGGGACCTCTTTAAAAATCATAAAAACTTTTGGTTAATAAAATGAATCAAGCTAAATGGTGCTTTTTGACCTTTATGCACAATTTGGAAAACATTAATGCTAGTGGCTGATAACAACTAAATCATTTACGTAATGATATCCATCAGACCTCATGGATATCAAAGGCATTATTCATGTCTATTAATTCATGCCTATTGATCAGCTGCTTCGGCTAAGCCCAGCTAATTTCTTTTCCCAGTGCCATTGGTATCATTAGCAATATATTACTCCCATCACTCAAAAGCTTCATAGTGAACCTCTGTCAATGTTTGATATGTGTTACTTTCTTGGCATTTATGAAAGGTGCTGTTTTAATTTTTATATATGCAACCTAATTGTTTTTCAACTGGAAACATTAAGAAAATAAATCTGTCATATAAATGTATGAAGTGACTAATAACTCACAAATATTTTTAAAGAATTAAATAGCGTGATTACACTGAGAATAACTTGTGGCTCAGTAAAAGGTTTAACAAAGCTTATACTTCTTCTAGCTGCTGGATTAGGGAAAGTTTCCAAGTCACTGATCCACAACAGAATTAAATTCGATCTTCCACAAATGTTAACAGAAAGTGATTGAATGCTACTGCCTTAAATATTCAGCATATTTCTTACAATTCTTTACAACTGATGAATGCAAGCTTCATAGAGGAAAGAAAAGAAAATTGAATAATGGTGACTTCCATAAACACAATAAAAAAATTAATGAGGGATTCATCTTTTAAAAAGTTGAAAATACATCAAAGTTGAAATCTTTGAAATTGAATCACAGAATTCTGAAAATATAGTTTATAGGTATATGTGGAAGTAACTAATTAAGAACAAGGAACAACTTAATTTCATCACTATAAAAGTCATATGAATTTACCACTCCTGCATCAACAGATGCAAAATAAAAGGTTGTAGTAATGATCATAGTACACATTGCATACTTACTCTGCTAAACATTTACTTGCATTATTTTGTGCAATCTCAAATATTCTATTATACATGTTCTCTTATTATCTAAATATTACAGATTAACAAATGGAAGGTTAGAAAAGTCTAAGTTCACACAGTTGTTGAAAAAACTGGGACTCAACCCATATTAGTCAGATGTCAGAACCAAAGAACCCTATATTATTCTAGCTGTCAATCAAATCATACACTTTGACCAAGTAATTATAATTCTAACAATATAACTAGAGGAAATGGAGATATTTAAACCTTTGAATCAAATACTTTTAGAAAAAATGCAAAAATTTAATAGTTTTTAAAAACTATTAAATTTTAAAACTGAGTTATTTTAAAACGTAAAATTATAAAAAGTTATAATTTAAAAAATATTTTAAGCAATATTAAAATACAAATCTTTGGGCACATTCTTTTCTTGAAGGACACAACTGTTATTATATTATTTACATAAATGTATATTTATATGCAAAAAGTCTTATTAATAATTTCTTTAGTGTTATAGCATTTATACATTTTCTCACATATTAAAATCGTTAATCTCTTAAAGATGTTTGCTTTTTGCAATATCTCTGAACAGATTTGTAGACACCACCACAAAATATTTCATACAATGCAACAAAAGTTTCTTTTATATGCTCAGTTATGGTCAAGAGAAAGTAAGGAAACTTGGAAGGTGGGGTTATTCACAGCATAAGTCTTTTCGTTTTTAAAGGCCTTTGAGAGTTAAGTCCAGAAAATTCTCAGGTAAACACAAGTGGAAATTAACAACTTAAGAATAAGTGATTGTGAAAAGTGATAGGATAATAAAAAATATCTTTTAGAAATTAAAGTTATAGACTGGTATAGAAGATGGCCGAATAGGAACAGCTCCAGTCTACAGCTCCCAGCATGAGCGAGGCAGAAGATGGGTGATTTCTGCATTTCCAGCTGAGGTACTGGGTTCATCTCACTGGGGAGTGTCAGAAAGTGGGTGCAGAACAATGGGTGCAGCTCATGAGTGTGAGAGGAAGCAGGGTGAGGCATCGCCTCACCCGGGAAACGCAAGGGGTCAGGGAATTCCCTTTCCTAGTCAAAGAAAGGGGTGACAGACAGCACTTGGAAAATCGGGTCACTCCCACCCTAACACTGTGCTTTTCCAATGGTCTTAGCAAACGGCACACCAGGAGATTATATCCTGCGCCTGGCTCGGAGGGTCCTATGCCCATGGAGCCTCGCTCATTGCTAGCACAGCAGTCTGAGATCAAACTGCAAGGTGACAGTGAGGCTAGGGGAGGGGCGCCCGCCATTGCCCAGGCTTGAGTAGGTAAACAAAGCGGCCAGGAAGCTCAAACTGGGTGGAGCCCACTGCAGCGCAAGGAGGCCTGCCTGCCTGCCTCTGTAGACTCCAGCTCTGGGGGCAGGGCATAGCCAAACAAAAGGCAGCAGAATCCTCTGCAGACTTAAATGTCCCGTCTGACAGCTTTGAAGAGAGTAGTGGTTCTCCCAGCACGCAGCTGGAGATCTGAGAACGGACAGACTGCCTCCTCAAGTGGGTCCCTGACCCCCGAGTAGCCGAACTGGGAGGCTCCCCCCAGTAGGAGCAGACTGACACCTCACATGGCCGGGTACTCCTCTGAGACAAAACTTCCAGAGGAACAATCAGGCAGCAACATTTGCTGCTCACCAATATCCGCTGTTCTGCAGCCTCCGTTGCTGATACCGAGGCAAACAGTGTCTGGAGTGGACATCCAGCAAACTCCAACAGACCTGCAGCTGACAGTCCTGACTGTTAGAAGGAAAACTAACAAACAGAAAGGACATCCACACCAAAACCCCATCTGTACATCACCATCATCAAAGACCAAAGGTAGATAAAACCACAAAGATGGGGAAAATACAGAGCAGAAAAACTGGAAACTCTAAAAAGCAGAGTGCCTCTCCTCTTCCAAAGGAACGCAGTTCCTCACCAGCAACAGAACAAAGCAGGACGGAGAATGACTTTGTCGAGTTGAGAGAAGAAGGCTTCAGACGATCAAACTACTCCGAGCTAAAGGAGGAAGTTCGAACCCATGGCAAAGAAGTTAAAAACCTTGAAAAAAATTAGACAAATGGCTAACTGAAATAATCAATGCAGAGAAGTCCTTAAAGGACCTAATGGAGCTGAAAACCATGGCACGAGAACTACCTGACAAATGCACAAGCCTCAGTAGCCGATTCGATCAACTGGAAGAAAGGGTATCAGTGATGGAAGATGAAATGAATGAAATGGAGTGAGAAGAGAAGTTTAGAGAAAAAAGAATAAAAGGAAATGAACAAAGCCTCCAAGAAATATGGAACTATGTGAAAAGACCAAATCTACATCTGATTGGTGTACCTGAAAGTGACAGGGAGAATGGAACCAAGTTGGAAAACACTCTGCAGGATATTATGCAGGAGAACTTCCCCAATCTAGCAAGGCAGGCCAACATTCAAATTCAGGAAATACAGAGAACGCCACAAAGATACTCCTCGAGAAGAGCAACTCCAAAACACATAATTGTCAGATTCACCAAAGTTGAAATGAAGGAAAAAACGTTAAGGGCAGCCAGAGAGAAAGGTCGGGTTACCCACAAAAGGAAGCCCATCAGACTAACAGCGGATCTCTCAGCAGAAACTCTAAAAGCCAGAAGAGAGTGGGGGCCAATATTCAACATTCTTAAAGAAAAGAATTTTCAACCCAGAATTTCATATCCAGCCAAACTAAGCTTCATAAGTGAAGGAGAAATAAAATCCTTTACAGACAAGCAAATGCTGAGAGATTGTGTCACCAGCAGGCCTGCCCTAAAAGAGCTCCTGAAGGAAGCACTAAACATGGAAAGGAACAACTGGTACCAGCCACTGCAAAAACATGCCAAATTGTAAAGACCATCGAGACTAGGAAGAAACTGCATCAACTAACAAGCAAAATAACCAGCTAACAACATAATGATAAGATCAAATTCACACATAACAATATTAACCTTAAATGTAAATGGGCTAAATGCTCCAGTTAAAAGACACAGACTGGCAAATTGGATAAAGAGTCAAGACCCATCAGTGTGCTGTATTCAGGACACCCATCTCACATGCAGAGACACATAATAGGCTCAAAATAAAGGGATGGAGGAAGATCTACCAAGCAAATGGAAACAAAGGCAGGGGTTGCAATCCTAGTGTCAGATAAAACAGACTTTAAACCAACAAAGATCAAAAGAGACAAGGCCATTACATAATGGTAAAGGGATCAATTCAACAAGAAGAGCTAACTATCCTAAATATACATGCAACCAATACAGGAGCACCCAGATTCATAAAGCAAGTCCTTAGACACCTACAAAGAGACTTAGACTCCCACACAATAATAATGGGAGACTTTAACACCCCACTGTCAACATTAGACAGATCAACAAAACAGAAAGTTAACAAGGATATCCAGGAATTGAACTCAGCTCTGCACCAAGTGGACCTAATAGACATCTACAGAACTCTCCACCCCAAATCAACAGAATATACATTCTTCTCAGCACCACACCGCACTTATTCCAAAACTGACCACACAGTTGGAAGTAAAGCACTCCTCAGCAAACGTAAAAGAACAGAAATTATAACAAACTGTCTCTCAGACCACAGTGAAATCAAACTAGAGCTCAGGATTAAGAAACGAACTCAAAACCACTCAACTACATGGAAACTGAACAACCTGCTCCTGAATGACTACTGGCTACATAACAAAATGAAGGCAGAAATAAAGACGTTCTTTGAAACCAACGAGAACAAAGACACAACATACCAGAATCTCTGGGACACATTCAAAGCAGCGTGTAGGGGGAAATTTATGGCACTAAATGCCCACAAGAGAAAGCAGGAAAGATCTAAAATTGACACCCTAATATCACAATTAAAAGAACTAGAGAAACAAGAGCAAATACATTCAAAAGCTAGCAGAAGGCAAGAAATAACTAAGATCAGAGCAGAACTGAAGGAAATAGAGACACAAAAAACCCTTCAAAAAAATCAATGAATCCAGGAGCTGGTTTTTTGAAACGATCAACAAAATTGATAGACCGCTAGCTAGACTAATAAAGAAGAAAAGAGAGAAGAATCAAATAGACGCAATAAAAAATGATAAAGGGGATATCACCACTGATCCCACAGAAATACAAACTACCATCACAGAATACTATAAACAACTCTACGCAAATAAACTAGAAAATCTAGAAGAAATGGATAAAATCCTCGACACATACACCCTCCCAAGACTAAACCAGGAAGAAATTGAATCTCAGAATAGACCAATAACAGGTTCTGAAACTGATGCAATAATTAACAGCTTACCAACCCAAAAAAGTCCAGGACCAGATGGATTCACAGCTGAATTCTACCAGAGGTACAAGGAGGAGTTGGTACCATTCCTTCTGAAACTATTCCAATCAATAGAAAAAGAGGGAATCCTCCCTAACTCATTTTATGAGGGCAGCATCATCCTAATACCAAAGCTGGGCAGAGACACAACAAAAAAAGAGAATTTCAGACCATTATCCCTGATGAACATTGATGCAAAAATCCTCAATAAAATACTGGCAAACTGAATCCAGCAGCACATCAAAAAGCTTATCCACCATGATCAACTGGGCTTCATCCCTGGGATGCAAGCCTGGTTCAACACATGCAAATCAATAAATGTAATCCACCATATAAACAGAACCAACGACGAATACCACATGATTATCTCGATAGATGCAGAAAAGGCCTTTGACAAAATTCAACAACCCTTCATGCTAAAAACTCTCAATAAATTAGGTATTGATGGGACGTATCTCAAAATAATAAAAGCTATCTATGACAAACCCACAGCCAATATCATACAGAATGGGCAAAAACTGGAAGCATTCCCTTTGAAAACTGGCACAAGACAGGGATGCCCTCTCTCACCACACCTATTCAACATATTGTTGGAAGTTCTGGCCAGGGCAATCAGGCAGGAGAAGGAAATAAACGGTATTCAATTAGGAAAAGAGGAAGTCAAATTGTCCCTGTTTGCAGATGACATGATTGTATATCCAGAAAACCCCATAGTCTCAGCCCAAAATCTCCTTAAGCTGATACACAACTTAAGCAAAGTCTCAGGACATAAAATCAATGTACAAAAATCACAAGCATTCTTATACACCAATAACAGACAAACAGAGAGCCAAATCATGAGTGAACTCCCATTCACAACTGCTTCAAAGAGAATAAAATACCTAGGAATCCAACTTACAAGGGATGTGAAGGACCTCTTCAAGGAGAACTACAAACCACTGCTCAATGAAATAAAAGAGGATATAAACAAATGGAAGAACATCCCATGCTCATGGGTAGGAAGAATCAATGTCGTGAAAATGGCCATACTCACTAAGGTAATTTATAGATTCAATGCCATCCCCATCAAGCTACCAATGACTTTCTTCACAGAATTGGAAAAACTACTTTAAAGTTCATATGGAACCAAAAAAGAGCCCGCATTGCCAAGTCAATCCTAATCCAAAAGAACAAAGCTGGAGGCATCACGTTACCTGACTTCAAACTATACTACAAGGCTACAGTAACCAAAACAGCATGGTACTGGTACCAAAACAGAGATATAGATCAATGGAACAGAACAGAGCCCTCAGAAATAATGCTGCATATCTACAACTGTCTGATCTTTGACAAACCTGAGAAAAACAAGCAATGGGGAAAGGATTCCCTATTTAATAAATGGTGCTGGGAAAACTGGCTAGCCATATGTAGAAAGCTGAAACTGGATCCCTTCCTTACACCTTATACAAAAATTAATTCAAGATGGATTAAAGACTTACATGTTAGACCTAAAACCATAAAAACCCTAGAAGAAAACCTAGGCAATACCATTCAGGACATAGGTGTGGGCAAGGACTTCATGTCTAAAACACCAAAAGCAATGGCAACAAAAGCCAAAATTGACAAATGGGATCTAATTAAACTAAAGAGCTTCTGCACAGCAAAAGAAACTACCATCAGAGTGAACAGGCAACCTACAAAATGGGAGAAAATTTTCGCAACCTATTCATCTGACAAAGGGCTAATATCCAGAATCTACAATGAATTCAAACAAATTTACAAGTAAAAAACAAACAACCCCATCAAAAAGTGGGCAAAGGATATGAACAGACACTTCTCAAAAGAAGACATTTATGCAGCCAAAAAACACATGAAAAATGCTTATCATCACTGGCCATCAGAGAAATGCAAGTCAAAACCACAATGAGATACCATCTCACACCAGTTAGAATGGTGATCATTAAAAAGTCAGGAAACAACAGGTGCTGCAGAGGATGTGGAGAAATGGGAACACTTTTACACTGTTGGTGGGACTGTAAACTCGTTCAACCATTGTGGAAGACAGTGTGGCAATTCCTCAGGGATCTAGAACTAGAAATACCATTTGACCCAGCCATCCCATTACTGGGTATATGCCCAAAGGATTATAGAACATGCTGCTATAAAGGCACATGCACACGTATGTTTATTGCAGCACTATTCACAATAGCAAAGACTTGGAACCAACCCAAATGTCCATCAATGATAGACTGGATTAAGAAAATGTGGCACATATACACCATGAAATACTATGCAGCCATAAAAAATGATGAGTTCATGTCCTTTGTAGAGACATGGATGAAGCTGGAAACCATCATTCTCAGCAAACTATCACAAGGACAAGAAACCAAACACCACATGTTCTCACTCATAGGTGGGAATTAAACAATGAGAATACATGAACACAGGAAGGGGAACATCACACACGGAGGCCTGTTGTGGGGTGGGGGGAGAGGGCAGGGATAGCATTAGGAGATATACTTAATGTTAAATGACGAGTTAATGGGTGCAGTACACCAAATTGGCACATGTATACATATGTAACAAACCTGCACGTTGTGCACATGTACCCTAAAACTTAAAGTATAATAAAAAAAGAACACTGATATAATTTAAAAAAAAAAGAAATTAAAGTTATAATTCCTAAAATTTAAAGAATACTAACAGATGAAGATAATTTAACAGATAATGAATCAGAGCATTTTCTTCTGTTGGTCCTGTCAAACATATGGCGAGATAAACGCGTTTTCCTACAAGAAGTTTATTGAGGAGTAATCTCATGATCAACTCCTGTAAGAAACAAGGAGAACATAAAAAATTAAAGGAGGAGATTTCAGTGCAATGTAGTTCAAACTTTGGCCTTACAGGATCTTATACGTTATGAAGTTTGGATGAAATGGCCCTCAAAGAAGCACCTAATGGAGACAAGGTGCCCAGACTTATCAAATTAATAGGTCATTTGACATGGTCTATCCCAGGTAGTATAACCTTTTAGAAGGTAGCTTCCTTTGACAGAGAGTAACTCTGGAAGAAGCACTCAGCTATAAACCATCAGTGGGCAACACTCCCAGCAGCTGGTGAAAAGTATGTTTCATTGCACAAGCCACTATTGGCACTATTTTCCACTTCTCAGTTTATCCCAAGAAGGGAGATAGGACAAGCTTGGGACAATCATTTAGTTCTCAATTCTTTAGTTTTAAATGTATACACAAAGATAGATAGATAGATAGATAGATAGATAGATAGATAGATAGATAGATAGATATAGATAGACAGATAGACAGGTATGAAAGCAAAATACATATACACACAAACACATACACAACCTATATGCATATACTGTATATAACTATATATGTATGCATGCATGTATATTAATTAGGTGGTAGCTACTAACTGGCACATAAATTTCTCTTTGAAGAAATAATTAAGGGAAATAATTCCCTCAGCAAGTGCAATTCTTCTTGGTAAAGAAGATTCTAAAGTACTAACTTTCAGACTTACTTTTCTGTCACATAGAAAGGCAAGTTGACTCATTGTTTTATTTTAGTTTAGTTTAATGCTTGAAGGTTTGTAAGTTCAAAATTCATTCACAGCATAAGTCTTTTCCTTTTCAAAGGCCTTTGAGAATAAGTCCAGAAAATTCTCTTCTTCCAAACAAAAATTTCTAGAATCTACTCAGTTGACATGCCTTTAGGTCTAGTAATTTAGAGTGTGAAAAGTAGAAGAAAGATCTCTGGCTAAACTAACTTTGAAGCAAGAAGAAGTGTAGATATAAAAAGATTTATTATTCCAATAGACATGTAAGTTCTTAAAGGTAAAAATGTTAAAAATTTCTTGAGGCATAAAAAGACACAGTAAAATGTACACAATTAAATCATACAATCTGATATATTTTGACATATGTGTAACACCTTTGAACCCATCATCATAATCAAGGAAATTAACATATTTATTAACACCAAATATTACTTTATTCTACTTTGCTGCTTAATTGTTTATAGTATACCTCTTTAACTTATTACAGTCTACCTTCAAGCTAAATTATACCATTCTATTTCTTGTGTAAGAAGCTTACAACAGTATACTTTCTCCCCTTCTGACATTTGGGCTATCATTATCAAGTATTTTTTTCTGATTGTTATCGCTAAAACTTGATAAATTTTGTTGAAAAATATATATTATGTTGTTTTTGGGTGTAGTGTTTATAGATGTCATTTAGTCAAAGTTGGTTGGTTTCAGAATTTCCTTCCTGATCTTGTCCTTAAATGATTCATCATTTATTGAAAAAGAGATATTAAAATTTCCTGCTATAATTCTGAATTTGTCTATTTTTTGCAGTTCTATCAGTGTTTGCTTCATGAGAATTCATACTATTGTTTTTCCCTGTATTTTCCATACACTCATGTACTGATGAGTACTCCAGTGAATACTAGAGGGATTCGTTCTACCAGTCCCTAAAAAGTTTATCTATGAAACTTTTTTGTTTGGTGCTCTTCCCTGGATGCTCCAGCAGTCTTTGCCACCATGGATGCTCAGTCTTGTCTCCTGAAGTCAAGGTATCTTCTAGGCTCTGATTGGGCTTCCTTTACTAATGCTGAGGTCTGAAAATTCTCAGGAAGCAATTATCTTGGCAACTGTAAGATTTAACCTCATTTATTTCCTGTCTCTTGGGGATCACTGTTTTGTTGCCTGATGTGCAGTGTCTTGCAACCCATTATTTTATTTATTTTGTCTGTTTTATGGTTGCTTCAGGAAGGAGTGTAAATTTAATCACTGTAAGTCAATCTTGTTCAGACGTGAAGGTCTGAACACTATTTTTATGCATCTCTGCATCTCTGCCTTTCCTATACTCCACCTCTATCTTTGAATTTATATATGAATTGAAACAGTTTATCAAAGACAGTAAAATGTCTCTACTTTGAATCAAATGATGTCTATATTTTAAAATACTGTACCTTCTGCATTGGTATAGTTTCATAGTTTAATATATAATGTTATTATTCATTCATTCAACACATATTTATTTAACAACTATTCTATGTCGTTTATTGTTATAGGTGCTGCTAAAAAAGTCAAAAAAAAACAAATGAAAATTCCTGCTGAATTATAGCTTATTTTTAGGAAGAAGGACAGAAAATAAACATAAAAGTAAGTAAAATCAATGTCAGGTGGTGACTAATGAAATTGCTAGAGGACAGAAAATGCTACAAAGTATGTAGTTTTTTATGGCATTACATAGAGGAGTCCAAAAAGATCTTACAGAGATGTTGATATTTTAGTAAAGACTTAACAGATGTAAGAAAGTAAACTCATGGAACCCAGGAAGTCTTTTCCTGGGGAATGCCTTGTGTTCTTCAGGAAGTAATATACCTGGAGTAACTGCCACATACTGAATGCTTTCTACCCAAAATTCATACATAAAAACGTAATCCCTAATGTGATGGAATTAGGAAATGAGGCATTTAGGAGCTAATTAGGTAGAGCCCTCCTGAATGGGATTAGTGCTGTTATAAAAGAGGCCTCAGAGAACTCTCTTGCCCCTTCTGCCATGTGAGGTTACAGAAAAAAGATGTCTATGAACCAAAAAATACACCTTCGCTGGACACAGAAACTACTGGCACTTTGATCTTGGGCTTTCAGCCTCCAGAACTATGAGAAAAAAATTTCTGATTTTTATAAGTCACCCAGTCTATGGTGTTATAGCAGCCCCAATGGACAAATAAAGTAGTTGAAGATTTTTCAGTTAGTGACTGTCTATAATCCTGGTAGTAACAACAAAATTAAAATTAATTATTTTCTTACTTAAAATATAACTGTGGTTCTTTAAAGGATTCTGTGTGTGTGTGTGTGAAGTATGGTGTTTGAGAAAGGAAAAAATGTTTTTAATTACTACAAAATCCTCCTATTTTCACTGTTATATATTACAATGTGTTATTTCATATAAAATTATTTCATTTTATTTTAATAACCACCATAAGTGATCAAGGCAGGAATATTATTATGCTTACTTCTAAATGGCAAAATTGTCACTCTAAACCTTTGAATTGATAGCCTGTTTCTAAGGCTGCATTCTTTCAGTGTATGGGAATATTATGCCTGATTGCAAAAGAGTATTATTCCTTTTTCTTAAAAATATACTCATTATTATTTGTCCTTATTATATTTCTCCCTTTGTGTCATTCTGATATTGCCTAGCCAAATGTCCTTTTTTCCCCTTTTTTAATGTAGTATTTGAATGGGTGAATATTTTTTAATTCCACTTAGCTTCAGTAGCACAGTAAGATTCACAAGTATATGTATATTATTTTATATGTATATTATGCTAAATATATATTAAAATAGTCTAGTTGTCATCATACTTATTATTCTGAATTATAGAGAAATTTAGGTATTTAGTTCTGCACATAAATAAATCTCCCACATACTGTAAATAACAAGAAAAATAATATCAATATTACTACTCTTCCACAATTTTTTGTGAATATTAATGGTAATATGCAACTCACAACTCTAGTTATAGCTTATCAAACAAGGAATTTCTTAAAATTGTAACCCCAAATATGTATGTTCCATAGATACATGACAGTTAAACAAGTGCTTAATCAAACAAGTTAACAAAAAAAAAATGCAGGTTTTTAGAACCTATCTTAAAACTCTAATTAGAACAAGAAGATGTACAGGAAAATTCATGCAGTGAAACAGGTAATTGTCAACATTAATGATCATTTTGTCAGGTATATCCCTGCCCTAGATAAATACACTAAATGTAAAGTTTTTAAAAAATGGCAATTTGCTTCATGTTATATTTGATCCTATACAGTCGCAATATACTTTGTTATATGAGTCCAGTATTTAAATTATCTTACTTTTTAAATGAAAACATTATGCATTTGTATATATGTGCTTGTGTGCATGTATCACTAGATTGTAAGTCTAGTGGAGTGGTGTGTTCAATTCTTCTTTCGCAGTCGGCTGCTCCCCTAACAACCACCCCATCTCTGTGACTAACACCATACTTGGCATGTATTAGCAGGCACTCAACTCATGTTTCTTTCTTTCTTTTTTTGCACTGTAACCACACAATTTTTATTTGTCAACTAAGGAAGGCAGGAAGAACAAGGTGTATATTTATATGGTTAAATGTAGCCAATATTTAAAACACTTTACTCTTAGATAATAGATTGATATTTTTCTTGACATAGATTTTCTTTTTTCTTTGATGTAAGTATGATAATAGATGGAATGATAGACAGGGTTTTTAATTTTGTATGTCAGTCATTAGTAGACAAAGTTAGCAAACTTTTGTCAGTTTCCCATCTTTTGTTTTGTTTTATTCTGTCTTTCTCTCTCTCTCTTTCTCTCCCACTGTGTGTGTATCTTTTAAATTTACATTGGTCCATAAAATCCAAGAATCTGGAACTACTGAAGTATATGACTCTAAGCCCACTTCCAACTCTGGATTCTGAACTCTACAACTGAACTTTATTTCCAACAAATGTTACAGTCTACCTTAAAACATTATGTGGACAAGCAAGGAAAAGCATGTTCCTCACTTGTCCCCATAAGAAAGAGATGGAGCATCTCTAGACTCACTCTAATATTTCTATCTGGGCAGCTGCTGCCAGAGGAGGAATTGGTCATATTACACTATAAGTCACCTTGGAGTGTTGTCCCCAAATTTTTATTTTGAAAATTTTCAAAGCTACAAAAGATCAGTTTATGTTTCTTGAAATGGAATTGCTGATTTTTTTAAATGATTAACTGAAACTTCCTTTGAACAAACAAAACTCCAAGTACATACCATAATAATAATGATAATGAGAAATAAATAATATTGTACATAAAATTAAAGTACTGATGAAAAATACATCTTCTGAAATTTTAAAACTATTTTAAAATGTTGTTTAAATTGGAAAAAACTACTTTAAAGTTCATATGGAACCAAAAAAGAGCCCGCATCACCCAGTCAATCCTAATCCAAAAGAACAAAGCTGGAGGCATCATGCTACCTGACTTCAAACTATACTACAAGGCTACAGTAACCAAAACAGCATGGTACTGGTACCAAAACAGAGATATAGATCAATGAAACAGAACAGAGCCCTCAGAAATAACGCCACTTATCTACAACTATCTGATCTTTGACAAACCTGAGAAAAACAAGCAATGGGGAAAGGATTCCCTATTTAATAAATGGTGCTGGGAAAACTGGCTAGCCATATGTAGGAAGCTGAAACTGGATCCCTTCCTTACACCTTATACAAAAATTAATTCAAGATGGATTAAAGACTTACATGTTAGACCTAAAACCATAAAAACCCTAGAAGAAAACCTAGGCATTACCATTCAGGACATACACGTGGGCAAGGACTTCATGTCTAAAACACCAAAAGCAATGGCAACAAAAGCCAAAATTGACAAATGGGATCTAATTAAACTAAAGAGCTTCTGCACAGCAAAAGAAACTACCATCAGAGTGAACAGGCAACCTACAAAACGGGAGAAAATTTTTGCAACCTACTCATCTGACAAAGGGCTAATATCCAGAATCTACAATGAACTCAAACAAATTTACAAGAAAAAAACAAACAACCCCATCAACAAGTGGGCGAAGAATATGAACAGACACTTCTCAAAAGAAGACATTTATGCAGCCAAAAGACACATGAAAAAATGCTCACCATCACTGGCCATCAGAGAAATGCAAGTCAAAACCACAATGAGATACCATCTCACACCAGTTAGAATGGTGATCATTAAAAAGTCAGGAAACAACAGGTGCTGGAGAGGATGTGGAGAAATAGGAACACTGTTACACTGTTGGTGGGACTGTAAACTAGTTCAACCATTGTGGAAGTTGGTGTGGTGATTACTCAGGGATCTAGAACTAGAAATCACATTTGACCCAACCATCCCATTACTGGGTATATACCCAAAGGACTATAAATCATGCTGCTATATAGACACATGCACATGTATGTTTATTGCGGCACTATTCACAATAGCAAAGACTTGGATCCAACCAAAATGTCCAACAATGATAGACTGGATTAAGAAAATGTGGCACATATACACCATGGAATACTATGCAGCTATAAAAAATGATGAGTTCATGTCCTTTGTAGGGACATGGATGAAATTGGAAATCATCATTCTCAGTAAACTATCACAAGGACAAAAAACCAAACACCGCATGTTCTCACTCATAGTTGGGAATTGAACAATGAGAACACATGGACACAGGAAGGGGAACATCACACTCTGGGGACTGTTGTGGGGTGGGGGCAGGGATAGCATTAGGAGATATACCTAATGCTAAATGACGAGTTAATGGGTGCAGCACACCAGCATGGCACATGTATACATATGTAACTAACCTGCACATTGTGCACATGTACCCTAAAACTTAGAGTATATTAATAATAAAATAAAATAAAAATAATAATAGAGGTAGAAGAATTGGTTAATAATCTTAACCAATTCTTAATGGAAAGGAGGCGTAAATGGAAAGGAGGCTTAGGGGAAATAAAAAACTTCATTCTAAAAAATCTTAGTGGCTAGTGAAAACAGCCCTTTTTCTTCTATTTTGCTTTTCCAGCTGTTGGTATTTCAGACTCTGATATTTTATTCCTGGTCATTATCCCAAAACATTGATGATTAGGAATTATAAAGAAATGTTGATATCCCCAAATTAATATAGCAACTATTTTCCAATTCTGTAAGTAGGTTTCTTCTTTCTTTCCTAATGTGAAATTAAGTTATTTTGACTCTCACTATAAGATCCTACTGACGTTTTGACCTTGGAGGTATCATAATATAAGACGTTTCCTCTTATATTATGTATCCTAGACAAGAAGGCATGATTCCTATAATTTTTAGTACTTTTGCATGCCCTTTGTTTTAACCTTAAAAAATTATTTATACTAAAAATATAATTGGTATAGTGTTAGATATATGCCTTATATTTTAAATAGTCTTTTCTATTGTTTTTCTGCTTTTTAAAATTTTTTAAACAATTTTATTAAGGCATAATTGGTATTTAAAGCTGCATATATTTAATGTATACAATTTGATAAATTTGCACATATGCATATACCCATGAAACCATAACTATAGTCGAGGTAACAGACATATCTATCACTTTAAAGTTTTCTTGTGCCTGTTTTCTTTTATTTTCCTTGTTACTCAACATGAAACTTTATTAACAAAATTCTAAGTTGCACAATACAGTATTGCTAACTATAGGCAGAATGTTGTTCAGCAGATCTGTAGAACTTACCCGTCTTCTATAATAAAAACTTTGTATCCATTGAACAACTCCCAATTTCCCCCTCCTCTCATTCCCTGGCAACCACCATTAAATTCTCTGCTTCTGTGAGTTTGACTATTTTAGATACTTCATAAAAGTGGAATTATGCAATATTGTTCTTTTGTGACTGGCTTAACCCATTTAGCATAATGTCCTTCAGGTTCATCTATGCTTTACAAATGACAGGATTTCCCTCTTGTAAAGGCTAAATAACATTCAATTGTATGAATATATCACATTTGCTTTATTCTTTCTTCTGAACATGGACATGTGAGTTGTTTCCATAACATGGTTATTGTGAATGCTGCTGCAATAAACATAAGAATGCAAATATCTCTTTTGATGATGATTTCCATTCTTTTGGCAATATACCTAGAAATGAGAATGGTGGATCATATGGTAGTCCTACTTTTAATTTTGGAGGGAAAGTCCATACTACTTTTTCATAGTAGCTATACCATTTCGCATTCCCACTAGCAATGTATATGGGATCTCTTTTCTCCACGTCCTCACCAACTCTTCTATTTATTTATTTATTTATTTGTTATTTATGTTTTGATTTTTTTTTTTTTTTTGAGATGGAGTCTTGCTCTGTCACCCACGCTGGAATGCAGTAGCATGATCTTGGCTCACTGCAAGCTCCACCTCCCGGGTTCACGACATTTTCCTGCCTCAGCCTTCCGAGTAGCTGGGACTACAGGTGCCCACCACCATACCCAGCTAACTTTTTGTATTTTTAGTAGAGACGGAGTTTCACCGTGTTAGTCAGGATGGTCTCAATCTCCCAACCTCGTGATCTCCCCTCCTCAGCCTCCCAAAGTGCTGCAAGTATGAGGTAATATATCATTTTAGTTAGGTTGGCATTTCCTTCATGACAAGTGATGTTGAGCACATTGTCCTATACATGTCGGCCATTTGTATGTCTTCTTTGGAGAAATGTTTAAATACTTTGCCCATTTTTAACCAGGCTTTTTTTTTTTTTTTTTGGATTTTGGTTTTTGATATTGATTTGTAGGAGTATTTTACATATTTTGGATATTTTTATTTTAGCCGGGATATGGTTTGGCTCTGTGACCCTACCCAAATCTCATCTTGAATTGTGATCCCCATAATCTCCACCATGTCAAGGGAGGAACCCTATGGGAGGTGATTGGATCATAGGGGCGATTTCCTCCATGTTGTTCTCATGATAATGAGTGACTTCTCGTGAGATCTGATGGCTTTAAAAGGCAAATTTCCCTGCCCTTGCTAATTCTCCCTCACCTGCCACCATGTAAGATGTGCCTCTTCCCCTTCTGGCGCAATTGTCTAAGTTTCCTGAGGCCTCCCCAGCCATGTGGAACTATGAGTCAATTAAGCCTCTTTATAAATTACCCAGTCTTACGCAGTTCTTTATAGCAGTGTGAGAACGGACTATATCAGGTCCCTTATATATGCTTTGCAAACATTTTCTCCCATTTTGTAGTTTGTTTTTTTTTTCATTCTGTTGATTGTTCCTTCACTGTGCAGAAGCATTTTAGTTTGATGTAGCCATACTTGTCTATTTTTCCTTTTATCGCTTGTGCTCTTCGTATGATAGCTAAGCATTCATTCCTAAAACAAACATCAAGGAGCTTTTCCCCTGTTTTCTTATAGTAGTTTTATAGCTTCAGATCCTATGTTTAAGTTTTAATCCACTTTGAGTTGATTTGTTTGTTATGTTATAAGGTAAGAGTCCAAATTATTCATTTTCCATGTGGATGTCCAATTTTCCCAACACCATTTGTTAAAGTGATGGTCTTTCCCCATTGTATATTCCAAGTAGCTTTGTCAAAGATCATTTGACAGTAAATGGGGTTGGTTTATTTCTGGGCTCTCTTATTCTGTTTCATTGGCCTATATATTTGTATTTATGCTAGTATCATACTGTTTTGCTCACTCTAGGTTTCTAATATATTTTGAAATTGGGAAGAGTGCTGCCTCCATCTTTGTTATTCTTTCCTACAATCACTTTGGTGATTTGTGATCCCATATGAATTTTAGGATTTGTTTTTATTTCTGTAAAAACTACCATTGGGATTTTGATGGGGATAGGATTGAAGCTGTAGATCACTTTGGATAGTATGGGTATTTAAACAACATTCATTTTTCATTTTCTTCCTTTCACTCTGCTTTTTATGCAGTCATAATTTGAATGTAAATTTAAGGCACTTCAGATGGAATTTTGGAATGTTAAAAGGTATCTCAAAATTGTCCAAGAATAGGGCATTTACTTTGTGATATCAAGCTGGTCCAAGGTTTATCAATCATCCTTGAATGTTTACATTTTAAAAAATGTTTATAAATAATATCTTGAGAGTGTTGGTGGTGAGGCTTAAAAATTTCATTAAGTAAATGCATAAGCCTAGGAAAAACTTATATAAGGTTTTGTTTGTTTGTTTGTTTTTGAGACAGAGTCTCACTCTTGTCACGCAGGCTGTAGTGCAATGGCGCAATCTCAGATCACTGCAACCTCCGCCTCCCAAGTTGAAGTGATTCTCCTGCCTCAGCCTCCTGATAAGTTTTTAATGAAAAACACAATCAAGTGGATCACTAGACTGGCCCACCACATTCTCTTCTCATAGACAGGCTACCTAGAAAACTAAATGATTAGAGTTTTTTTCAGTTTTATTTACTCATGGTATTGTAATCATATGAAGAACACATTAAATATGCCATATAAACTCCTTTTTCATATACATTATTACTCTATCCCCTCCCCTACACATATAAATTTACAATTTGATTTGTTAAAATTCTTAAGGCACTGATAGCCTTGCTCTGGAAGTTATTCAAGTTCTATAAGACATATTTTTAAATTTTTAAATACAGTGCAAAATTATTTTTTCTAACTCCCAAGTTCATGGGGAGTACCCAACTTATGGTTGAATCCTCATGACTGCTGAAACAGAAACTAATGAGAAATATAATTTTCTCTTCTCTCTGTTCCTTTTAATTTTTTACTTTTAAATTTATTTGTATTGTATTTGTGAATATAAAAATTCTTAACATGAAATGTTGCTAAAATCAGCAATCCAATTGATTTCATGATATTAACTTAATACAAAACATGCACATCTAAATTCTAAGTGAAAGACACTCCACCTTCTTTACTATGATTGTTATTATTAATCTATCATAATATTTACTATTTTGGTAAAAAATGATTTCATATTTTCTTTTATTATTTTACATATTCAAATATATTTTAATTTATTCTTCAACCTATTATTTTAGGATAAATAACCACATGCCAGCACAAGAGAGGATTTTCTGGTGGTGATAATGTTCTGTTTCTTTGTCTGGGGGTTTGTTATGTAGGAGATAGTCTTTCAATCTTTGTAAATATTCACCAAGTTGTGCAATTAAGACTTTTACATTTATTGCTTAGTTAAAAAAAAAAAGTCAAAAGAATTTTGAGGGTAATCTGCAATTTACACCATGGAATATTTAGCTTTTATGAATTTTAAAATTTACAAACAGCATTGTTAATCATATTTAATATGTAAGTTTTCTAGATATTAATATACATAATTGTATTTAATGTATATATTTTTATAATAAAGACAGAATGCAATTGAGTCATCTCTTTCAATGCCCAAATTATATAAAAGAGCAAAAGTGACACGAAATGATTATAGTTAATTAGAGAAAGAACTAGAATCATAAACTGGCTCACTGAATAAAATTCTCTTTTGATGTATTTAAAAATAATCACTGGGTCATTCTGCAATTAAACTTGCTCAGAAAAACAAACGGCATCAAAAGAGGGTAAGTAAAAGATTATATGAGATATGCAATCTGAAATGATTATCTCTAGTTGTTTAAAGCTCATTTTAATTTATATTTGATAATTATATTCTCCATAATATGAAATTTTTACTTTGTGGGTTGCCATGAAGTACTGTATATGATTTTGCAGGGCTACCATGTAATGGTGTCATCAATTTCATGAGTATAAATGACATTCTGAAGCTTGGGTGATTTGTTAAGCTTGCCGAACGGAAATGAAGTATTTTGTATTTCAAGTGCATTTTTATTATGTCTATTTTGAGTATATGTTATCTAATTTCATGTACATTTTATTGATAAATTTACAGATTTAATTCCCTTTCTACTACCTTATCTATTATAAGCCACAGTCTCCATAATAGCATTAGGAAAACTAAGGCTGACATGCAAGCTAGTACTTTTTCATCTGGGACACACAGAGGTCACTATACCATTATGATCTTTTATAGAGCAATATATAATTTAACTAGAATTTTTTCCAACAAGATATTATCTGAGATAAAAATACTTAGTAAGTTTCCAAAGCGATTAAACATTTATACAAGAATAGCATATGCTAGGCTAAAAATAAAGGCTATTAATAAAAGCCTTTATGCAGTATTGCTGTCATCAAATCCATCTGTCCCTGTGAGGATTCAGCATGTTCATTTCTAGTGCCAAAAGCGCTGTCCTGTGTTCAAGGGCTTTGAATGACCTGTCCACCCATGAATACAGTCATCTCTCTATATTCTTTCTGCTGAATGACTGTGGCCTAAAAGAAAGAATGCTGCACTTTGAATACAGTGATCATCCTTCCCATTCTGCCCCAAAAGTTTTTGAGCTCCAATATATCATTTATACAGCTAATGCCTCAGTCGCCTTGCCTAGAAAATGGAGCCAACTGACTTTCAATTTAACTGATAAGTTGCTTTTATAATTAATACAAGATGTACTTGAACAAATTGTATACTTAGATTGATTTTAGTATATCAAGAGCTAGACCTTTAAAGAGAAAGTAAGTAGTGAGAGCATCAATTTCACACTTCTGTCTGATGAATCAATCCTTTCCAGACTTACTCATATTTATTCGTATGTGGAATATCTATGGTAATTTGGAACTCATTACCATTCAGAGTGGCTTCTCCTATCATGAACTACAATTGTTAAATGTTGTTTTCTATTAAGTCAAAATTTACTTTTTTATTGTTTCTATTCAATGCTGTCAAATTGCTTTAGCTCACACAGAACAAATGTAAACTTTTTTCTAATTTAATAGGTAAGCATTTATTAAATGTCAATTAGATTATAGAAATGTACATGATATAAGCCATATTCTAAATGGTGTAATGTGAGAGATAGATAAGAACATCATTAAAATACAATGGACTAAGTACTATACAATGATGTGCATAGGGTAGTAGGATAGAAAAACAAGTGACACCTAGATAAGCTTGAGAAGGTTAATGAAAGCTATAAAGTGGGCTTTAAACTCTGTTAGGAATGAGAGATCACAGGGAAAAGGTGAGGGATGGCAGTCTAACAAGGAAAAGAGTATGCACAAAGACACGCCTCTGGCCATTTTCCAATACTTTAAAACTTACATTAATCAATTTCTAAAGCTAAAGAACAAAATTTTTATAATTTTGTTTTATTTTACATTTTTAAAGTCTATTAATCCCAGAGTTTCTCCTCTGATCATAATTTAATTTACCAAGCCCTTCTTAAACTGGGAGCCCTAAGAACCATATATTTTTGGCCTTGCTTGGTATTGGTTAGTATAGAGGTAAATATAGTATCAAATAATAAATTATCACTTGCAGTTGGAATTTTAAACAACTATTAACATTTGATGTAACATTGTTAGCAATATTTTATGTATGTAGTTATTGTTACATGAAAAATACAAATAGAGGATACATTTTCATTTTTATTTCCTTTAAGACTTTTAAAATTCAACTAGTGGAGCAGGTACAGTAGCTTATGCGTTCAATCTCAGTGTTTTGTGAGGTCAAAGTGTGAGGATTGCTTAAGCCCAGAAGTTCAAGACCAGCCTGGGCAACATACTATGTCCCTGTCTCAACCAAAAAACAAAAAAAGTGAATTTGTGGGTTATAAATTCAAATCAAGTGACAAATGATTGATGGGAAAAAATGACGAAGATATATAATATTAGGAAAAGAGTAAAGAAATTTTAAAGATGTCCATACAAACAAACTCAATGCTCTTAGGAGGTAAATGTGAGTTGACTTTGGTACAGGTAAAAAGCAATGCTTTCACTGTCTCTAGTTTATTGTCATTTTGATTCAGTAAACCATATTTTTCCCAATTCCATTCCATAAAAATTAAAGACACTTCTTTAACATAGAGAAAGTTACATAGTAAATTATCATAATTAATTTTAAAATAATATTGGCTACATTAGAAAGGTAATTGGTGAGTTTTTAATAGATATAAGCCAGTCAAGAAGTTGGCACTAAAATTTCATGTAGACAGAAAAGTGACTAAATGTTATCACTGTCCATTAGAAGGTAACCAATTTAAACACACAGACACACACATATGTTAATACCACACAAAAATACACCAAGAAGCTATTTAAATTAATGATATAGTTGTATAAGTTGATATTATAAGAATTCCTAGGTGTGTGTCTACATTTATAATTTAAAAACTGCAGAACAATTGATATTCTAAGTTCCTAATTATATATTTTAAGTGTATTATGTGTTCATCTAAATGGTTGTTTTTATGTGGCCAATTTAGAAATAATATACAATATGTTTATTGTGATTACTCCTGTAAGGATCTGGAGTAGATAATGAATTATTTTATCATTTGGTATTACAAAGCCATCAATGAAATGACATCTTTTCTACATTTTTATCATTATTATATTAATGTACTATTTGTTATTTTATGATAATATTTGGATAAAAAAACTAATTTAAAAAGGAAGGGAAAGAAGAAACAACTTAGCCATTTAACAGAGAGAGATGTTGAGAGCACAAACCCTATGGCTGAAGGAACTTGAGAGAACAAATAGAAGTTTAATGAAGATTTACCCAAGGTTGCACCGTGTTCAATCTGATTTCTCTGTATGGTTTCATAGACTTTAGGAAAAAAAAGAAGTGAGATAGCTTTGGTATGATTTTTTTCTTTTCAAGCTAGAAGAAGAGCTCAATGTCTTGCCAAGGTTGCTGAGTGAGGATGGAAAAAAGTCAGGTCAAGTGGTCCAGAGATGCAGCAGCTATCTCTTGGTGCAGTGTTTGACTGTCAGAACCTCAACATCCCAGATGACCCATCTCATATTCTGTCATCATTAGCAATGACGATAACTGAGGAAAAGCTGATACCAGAAAGAAACACCTGTGGGCGCATAGAGGAGGGTTCCTCCTCTATGTCTTCAACATGTATTCATTATTTCAGCTATAAATACTTATTTGCTGTAATCAACCTTTCCAGTATATTTTTATCCCATTTTCATTATGGAAAGATGCTTGTCTCCCAGTTTCTAAATGCATGGCAACACTTCCCACAGCTATATTACTGGAAGAAAAAGAGATAAACAAAAATAGAAATATGGAGGACATGACAGAAGGAAGATCTAGTAAGAGATAAAGTAATAGAAAATAATTTATAAAATAATGTGATTGAATAGGTTCTTTATGGATTTAATTCATTGTATTGCAATATCACATTTATGTACCTATGTTCCTTTGCAGACTACCAAATGCATCTAGAAGGTAGCACCTGTATCTTTTTTTATTGTTATTATACTTTAAGTTCTAGGGTACATGTGCACAACATGCAGGTTTGTTACATAGGTATACATGTGCCATGTTCTTTTGCTGCACCCATCAACTCGTCATTTACATTAGGTATTTCCCCTAATGCTATCCCTCCCCCAGTCCCCCACCACCTAACAAGCCCTGGTGTGTGATGTTCCCCTCCCTGTATCCATGTGTTCTCATTGTTCAATTCCCACTTATGAGTGAGAACATGCAGTGTTTGGTTTTCTGTCCTTGTGATATTTTGCTGAGAATGATTGTTTCCAGCTTCATCCATGTCCCTGCAAAAGACATTAACTTATCCTTTTTTATAGCTGCATGGTATTCCATGGTGTATATGTGACACATTTTCTTTATCCAGTGTATTCTTCATGGATATTTGGGTTGGTTCCAAGTCTTTGCTATTGTGAATAGTGCCACAATAAACATACATGTGCATGTGTCTTTATAGTGGCATGATTTATAATCCTTTGGGTATATACCCAGTAATAAGATCACTGGGTCAAATGGTATTTCTAGTTCTAGATCATTGAGGAATCACTACACTGTGTTCCACAATGGTTGAACTAACCTATACTCCCACCAGCAGTGTAAAAGCATTCCTATTTCTCCACATCCTCTCCAGTATCTGTTGTTTCCTGACTTTTTAATTATTGCCATTCTAACTGGCATGAGATGGTATCTCATTGTGGTTTTGATCTGCATTTCTCTGATGACCTTCTTCATGATCAATTTTGAGGAATGGCCATCAATGAAGGTCTTGGTCAATACAGATATGGAAATGCCAGACAAACGCTAAGAGAGTATGAGATGGGTAAGGGGATTGTCATCCTGGTTCAGAATGGACCAGCTGACAAAGTTCAAATGTACCTGGGCACCATACAGTGAAAATAATGTACCATTTTGCATAATATGGCATGAATTTATAATACGAATCCATAGTGCTATGATACTGATTTTCTAGATAAAAAGGCACAGCTATATCATCAATAAAAATAAGCTATGTGATCATTAAAAGATTATTTGTTTAAGAAATATTAGTTAACAATATCTTAGGAAGATCACATAAATACTTTCGCTTCTTGTATAGATTCGGTACAAATTGCTGGTAATGGAATTCAAGTAAATTATAAGCAGATGGTTTTTTGGGAGGAGTTCACTCTCAAGTGTTGACAAACATTTCAAAGAGCCTGCAAGGAGTTCCATTTCATAGTCAAATCAGCTATAATTGTCTTTCAGTAACCCGTAATAAAGAGATGCATTTTAGTTAGGGACTAATTGGTTTTAGATTATTATGTCTTTAATCTCTTTTCCACAGAAGTTCTGAAAATATTCTGAAGATGTTCAGGTTGTTCTCTTTTTCCTTTGCTCTTCATTCATGAAATGATATTTGATAGTAATGTACTGCTACTATTTTCTCTAGGAATAATATATTTTCATTAAATTGTGTAAACACATAGAAGGACTTAGATTCTTCAGCATTTTCATCCATTCCTCTAGGATGTTTGTCAAGCAAACTGAATTACTGTCCATACTCACATGTTATTTTACCAGTACTTCCTTCTATTTCTCAGTATTTTTTCCCCAATAGGTTTCAGAAAATTCTGTTTTTATTCAGTTCCTTGATTTTGTTGCCTTCCATTGCTCATCATTTATCCTTTCTGTTTAGAAGGTATATATTTTATTATGCTGCTACTTTAAAGTTGTCTTTTCCAAAATCTTCTAGTTAATAAGATCGGAAGAAGATATTAAAACTAGCTGTTTCCTGACATGTAATCACAATAGTGGTATAAGATTGTTCACATTTTACATTGCCTATATATATGGCACGACAAAGGCAAAATGGCAAAATTTATGTGAGTGTCTTATTTTATCATAGAAGAAGTCATTTGTCTGATACATTAATAAGATATTCTCGTACTGTTATTCTAGTCCAGCACCCTGCTGGGCTTATTCAACTTTGTTCAAACTAAGTAAAAGTCTGGTGATCTCAGTTGGGCAAATGGGAATTTGGTACTACTAAGCTCTCAAAAATAATTCCTATAAAATCTTATATTTATCAACAGACAGATTTGATTTCCTAAGGCCAAAATAGTAAAATGTTAAAAGACAGTTAAGAGCCATTTATAACTGAAAAACTGTCATGTCTTTTACAGAAGAACAACGTATTTGTCCGGTGAAAAATGGATTGCAAAAATGCTTACCTCCTACAAAAATCAGGTAATCGTGATTATTTCACTCATGGGAAGCAAACTTGGTATGGTTTTATACCAGTTATAATGAGTAAATAAGCCATGAAGACGAACCCAAGGCTTTGCTCTGCTTTGAAATCTCCTGTTACCTAACCACCAGATTGAAATTACAGTTAATTAAATCTTCAGTTATTTTTCACATGGGATTTGGAGAAACTACTTCCTGAAATGTATTTATTTGGAATTAACTAGTAGTTTCAGTAAATAAAAGAGTCAATAACTTATTTGAGAATCTAATAGCCTTAATCTAAAACATTTCCCATAATTAAATATTTTGGTTGTTGTGACTGTAACTACAAGGACGTAAGTGCAGTAATGACGTTTGCAAAATTTTCTACCTCCATTAAAATAGTGCAATATATTATTTATTTATTTATTGACCTTTGATGATTTGCCAAAGTGGATTAGTCAGTGTATGTTAATTTTATAATTGCTTGCAGTGGTATTGTGAGCTGCTTATGCTTGTAATTTCGTATGATTATTAAGTCTCCCTCACAAGTACCTTCTATTCATATACTATACACATAAAGAGAGAAACTACTCTGTAGAACACTGTAAATTATACCAGCTGAGCTTTAAAAACCATACAAATGTAGCCTGTGAATAAGCTGAATTCCCACCTACCGTGGGAGCACAATACTAGATATAAGAGCTGTTCTGGAATTCCAAAGATGAACAAGCATAGGAAGAATACAGAATGCCAGCTATAAAACAATTGAACAAACACATTTCCCCTTTTCCCAAAACAATTTACATGCAGTTATTTTGTGGCATCTATGACTATTAATACATAGATACTTTACATAATTAAGTTAGAATATACAAAATTCAATTATTTATGTTTCTATAACTAAATGATTGTTCCTTGTTGTAAAACTACTTTCCTGAAAACCCATAATCATATCAGTTTAAATCTAACAATAACATTTATTGATCTTTACTATAATTTCAAACTTCCTACAGAATTAATTTTAGCCTACAATATAAATGACAGCCATATTCGAAGTAAAGCACATGTATGTAAAGAAGCAAACTTGGTAAGAGGAGGCAATAAACTGAAAGATATCCTGAAAAATAATGTTTTACAATTAGTAACATACATACCACTAAGTATTTAAGAAGAGAAGTTTCATTTTTATAAAAGAAAATCCACAGTATTTTTTGGAGAGTAATAGTGGCCAGAATGGGTGATAATAGAATATGGGGTTTCTTTTAGTGCTGTGGATAGAAGCAAAAGGTGAAGATAGACTGGTATATGGAACTATAGCCTCTTCATATTGCTCCAAACCAAGAGTGAGAGATATAAAAAATAAGGTATATTTATATGAAAAGATACATAGATTTGAACGAAAGAGGAAACCATAACTCCAAATGAGCAGAAACAGAATAATGCAAAATATAATGAATATGAATTGCTAGAGTTGCCAGCTAAGTTAACATTTGGGTGAATGTGTGAAGTGTCACTGCAGAATCTGACAAGCAAATCAATATTTTGTTAACAATGTCAACCAGGGTAGTAGAGCTGTCAACTCCCAAGCAGGGGGGTTGGGTGAGACACAGGGAAAGAGACACAGAGCTGGCTGACTGGCTGACATATTTAGGAGTACAGGGAAGCCCTCTAAGCCAGAGGATAGCTTCTGCCACATCAGAGGTAGTGATGAGAGCTAAATAACAAAATGGGAAGAGCTAAATATAAAAATTAGTAGGCTCAAGAATTCTTTCAAATTATGGTGTGCATTCTGTAGTTATTTGTTATTTATTTGTTATTTTTCAAAGCAGAATTCCTACCCTCTGTCCATTTCTTGTGATAACAACATCTTTACTTTCTTTTGAAAATCCACCTTTCCTCTCTCAGTTCCTGAGTCTAGGGAAGTGGGAACTGGGGAACTGCTACTGCTGCCCTTTTGAGAAAAGGAGAAATATTTTCTGAGGAAGGCATCACAGAAAAACTTAGATGAGATAAGAGACTCTAAGAACCAACACGTGGGATTTTGAAACTGCATCAGGTTAATCTGCAGTCAGCACTACTCTTAACTTTCCATCTAGATGAGCCCATAAATTCCCTTTTAGATTGAGAAAGTTTGAGTGATTTTCTTGCCATTTGCAACAGACAGTTCAACCTATTAATAATTTATAATGTGAAAGTCAACCCATGAAAAGTAAGAAAAAAAAAGCTCAAGGAATATGGGGCATTGATATGGGGGTACAGAAGTTCCAACATATTTTTATAATAGGAGCTTCCAGAAAAAAAATACAAAAAAAACAGAAGATAGTAGAAGAAATCACAATTGGAAAAATGAAAAAAAAAAGTTTAAACTAAGCACTAAGTGGACTAAGTAATCAAGACACAACATATAGGTGAATGATGATAATATTTTTAAACTGGAAAGGATTAAAAAATTCATTACAACTATGGATGAAGCAACATATGCTCACTGTTCTGAAAGGAAGTTATTTAAAACCCAAACTTTTGTAGCCTGATGAACTAACAAATAACCAAGGGCAAAATAAAAGTTTGTTTGATAAAGCATGTCTCATAAAGGTTAGCACATGTAATTCATATCTGAGGAAAATTACTAGACGATATATTTAAGAAAACAGATATAATAATTCAAGAGCAAATTATCCAATACCAGAAGTAATAACAACCAAATAATAATATTAAAAAATATTGAAGTCCAATATGTGTTGAGAACTAAGTAAGGTAATATCAAAGCTTAAAATGGGAAATGGAAGTTTTTGTAAAGGGCAATAAATTTTTGGGGGTGAAATGTTAAAATCAGCTACTGATTATTTTTAGATAAACATCATTGATTTCTTCCATTCAATTGCATGTTTCATATCAGCATAAAACAGGGTATAAAGGAATTCAAAACTAAAAACTTATCCCTTCCCACCACATTCCAATCCAACCAAATGTTTACCTTTCTACCTTTATCCATAGCAAAACATAGAAATTTATTTCCTCTGCCTGACTCCATTTTTTTCAAACCTTGCATTCTCTCTTAAAGATACTTCTATTGGATTGAAAAACTACCTGTGGGGTGCTATACTTATCACCTAAGTGACAAAATATCTGCACACAAAACCTCTAGGACCAACAATTTACCGACACAACACACCCACACATGTACCTCGAACCTAAAATAAAGTTAAAGAAAAAAAACAAAGATACTCCTATTGGGCTTCTAAGCCCAAATATGCAATAATTCTTTTATTTTCTTCTTTGTGTGTGTTTTTGCTTGGTTGGTAGGTTAGAAAAGAATCTCTACATGTCTAAAACACCAAAAGCAATGGCAACAAAAGCCAAAATTGACAAATGGGATCTAATTAAACTAAAGAGCTTCTACACAGCAAAAGAAACTACCATCAAGAGTAAACAGGCAACGTACAGAATGGGATAAAATTTTTGCAATCTACTCATCTGACAAAGGGTTAAAATCCAGAATCTACAAAGAACTCAAACAAATTTACAAGAAAAAAACAAACAACCCCATCAACAAGTGGGCAAAGGATATGAACAGACACTTCTCAAAAGAAGACATTTATGCAGCCAAAAGACACATGAAAAAATGCTCATCATCACTGGTCATCAGAGAAATGCAAATCAAAACCACAGTGAGATACCATCTCACACCAGTTAGAATGGCGATCATAAAAAAGTCAGGAAACAACAGGTACTGGAGAGGATGTGGAGAAATAGGAACACTTTTACACTGCTGGTGGGACCGTAAACTAGTTCAACTATTGTGGAAGTCAGTGTGGCGATTCCTCAAGGATCTAGAACTAGAAATACCATTTGAACCAGCCATCCCATTACTGGGTATATACCCAAAGGATTATAACTCATGCTGCTATAAAGACACATGCACACGTATGTTCATTGTGGCACTATTCACAATAGCAAAGACTTGGAACCAACCCAAATGTCCATCAATGATAAACTGGATTAAGAAAATGTGGCACATACACACCATGGAATACTATGCAGCCTAAAAAAGGATGAGTTCATGTCCTTTGTAGGGACATGGATGAAGCTGGAAACCATCATTCTCAGCAAACTATCACAAGGACAAAAAACCAAACGCTGCATGTTCTCACTCATAGGTGGCAATTGAACAATGAGAACACTTGGACACAGGAAGGGGAACATCACACACCGGGGTCTGTTGTGGGGTGGGGGGAGGGGGGAGATATAGCATTAGGAGATATACCTAATGTAAATGACGAGTTACTGGGTGCAGCACAACAATATGGCACATGTATACATATTAACAAGCCTGCACGGTGTGCACATGTAAGCTAGAACTTAAAGTATAATAAAAAAATTAAAAAGAAAAGAATCTCTGACTTGACCTACTTTCACTTTTCCTTTATGTTCTTAGGAGCATTACAAACATTACAAAACATGATGTTCTCTTTCTCAATATGGAATTGTCATGTGTTACCTGATGCTATTGTATGGTCTCAGTTTTTCACCTAACTCACTGGAAATGTCACAGTTTCATTTTAGGAAATTCTTCACTGCCCAATCTCTAAAGATTGGAATAACAAAGGTTCATTACTGAAGCCTTTTCTTACTTATTTATTTTTTAAATATTTATTTTTGTGGGTACATAATAACTGTATAAACTTATAGGGTACATGAGATATTTTGATACAGATACACAATATGCAATAATCACATCCCGGTAAATGAGAAATTAATCACCTCAAGCATTTTTCCTTTCTTTTTGTTACAAACAATCCAGTTGCACTCTGAGTTACTTAAAAATGTAGAAAAATTATTACTGTTATAAAATACTAAATTTTATTCATTCTAACTCTATTTTTGTACATATTAACCCTCATCACTCATCCCGCTTCCCGCATTACCCTTCCCAGACTCTGGTAACCATCCTTCTACTTTCTATCTCCATGAGATCAATTGTTTTAATTTTTTAAGTCCCAAAAATAAGTAGGAACAGGCAAAGTTTGTCATTCTCTGCCTAGATTATTTCACTTAACATAATGATCACCAGTTCCATCCATTTTGTTGCAAATAACAGGATCTCATTCTTTCTTATGCCTGAATAATACTCTGTTGTGTAAATGAACCACATTTTCTTTGTCCATTCATCTGTTGATGGATACTTACATTGCTTCCAAATTTTGGCTGTTATGAACAATACTGCAACAAACATGGAAGTGCAGCTATCTCTTCGACATACTGATTTCCTTTCTTTTGAGTACGCACATAGTAGTGGGATTGTTGGATTATGGGGTAGCTCTATTTTTAGTTTTCTGAGAAACCTTCAAGCTGTTATTCATAGTGGTTGTACTAATTTACATTTCTACCAACAATGTATAAGGGTTCCATTTTCTCCACAACCTTGCCAGCATTTGTTATTCCCTGTCTTTTGGATAAAAACCATTTTAACTGGGGTGAGATAATATCTCATTGTAGTTTGATTTGCATTTATCTGATGATCAATGATGTTGAGTACCTTTTCATATGACTGTTTGCCATTTGTATGTCTCTCTTTGAGAAATGTCTATTCTGATCTTTTCCTTACTTTGTAATTGGATTATTAGATTTTTTTCCTACAAAGTTGTTCGAACTCCTCATATATTCTTGTTATGAATCCCTTGTGAGATGGGTAGTTTGCAAATATTTGCTTCCATTCTGTGGGTTGTCTTTTCACTTTGTTTATTGTATCTTTGCTTTACAGAAGCTTTTAAACTTGATGTGATTCTACTTATGAATTTTTGTTTTGATTGTCTGTGCTTGTAGTGTATTGCTCAGGAAACATTTGCCCACACCAAAGTCCTGGAGACTTTCCCCAATATTTTTTTGGGTTAGTTTCATAGTTTGAAGTCTTAGATTTGTCTCTAATCCATTTTGATTTGATATTTGTATATGGCAAGAGACAGGGGACTAGTTTCATTCTCCTGCATATAGATATCCAGTTATCCCAGCACCATTTACTAAAGAAACTGTCCTTTCCCCATTGTATATTCATGACATCTTTGTCAAAATTTAGTTCACTGTAGATGTATGGATTTGTTTCTGGGTTCTCCATTCTATTCCCTTGGTCTGTATGACTGTGGCTTTTTATTTTCTGCCACTACCATGCTGTTTCGGTTACTATTGCTCTGTAGTATAACATGAATCAGGTAACGTGATTCCTGCAGTTTTGTCTTTTTGCTCATGATGGCTTTGGCACTTCTGGTCTTTTGTGGTTCCATGTATATTTTAGGATAGTTTTTATTTTATTTCTGTGAAGAATGTCATGGGTACTTTGATAGGCATTGCATTGAATCTACAGATTTCTTTAAGTAGTATGAACATTTTAGCAATATTGATTATTTCCATCTGTGAACATAGAGTATCTTTCCATGTTTTGGTGTCCTCTTCAATTTTTTCCAACAATGTTTCTACTTGTCCATTTTCATGTTACTATGAAGAAATATCCAAGACTAGGTGATTTACAAACAAATATAGGTTTAATGGACTCACAGTTCCACATGGCTGAGGAGGCTAACAATCATGTTGGAAGGCAAAGGGGGAACAAAGGCATGTCTTACATGGTGGCAGGCAAGAGAGCATGTGCAGGGGAACTGCCCTTTATAAAATGATAAGATCTCATAGACTTATTTACTATCATGAGAACAGCACAGGAAAAACACACTCCAATGATTCAATTACCTCCCACCAGGTCCCTCTCAGGACATGTGGGGATTACAGGTGCTAAAATTCAAGATGAGATTTGGGTTGGGAAAGAGCCAAACCATATCATTCCACTTTTGGCCCCTCCCAAATCCCACGTCCTCACATTTCAAAACCAGTCATGCCTTCCCAACAGTCCCCCAATGTCTTAACTCATTTCAGCATTAACTCAAAAGTTCACAGTCCAAATTCTCATCTGAGACAAGGCAAGTCCTTCTGCCTATGAGCCTGTTAAATCAAAAGCAAGTTAGTTACTTCCTAGATACAAGGGGGGTACAGATACTGCATAAATACACTCATTCCAAATGAGAAAAATGGCCAAAATGAAGGGGCTACAGGCCCCGTGCAAATCTGAAATCCAGTAGGGCAGTCAAATCTTAAAGCTCCAAAATGATCTCCTTTGACTCTATGTCTCGCATCCAGCTCATGCTGATGCAAGTAATGGGTTCCCATGGTCTTGGGCAGCTTCACCCCTGTGGCTTTCCAGGGTACAGCCACCCTTCTGGCTGCTTTCACAGGCTGGCATTGAGTAACTGTGGCTTTCCCACGCACATGGTACAAGGTGTTGGAAGAGCTACCATTCTGCATTCTGAAGGATGGTGGCTCTCTTCTCATAGCTCCACTAGGCAGTTCCCCAGTGGAGAATCTGTGTGTGGGGGGCTCCAACCCACATTTTCGTTTGGTACTGCCCTAGCAGGGGTTCGCCATGAGAGCTTCACTCCTGCAGTACACCCCGCATGGACATCCAGGCATTTGCATACATCCTATGAAATCTAGGCAGAGGATAGATGCTTGTCTTCTCAATTCTTGTCTTCTGCACATCCACAGAACCAACACCATATGGAAGCTGCCAAGGCTCGGGGCTTACCCTTTGAAGCCATGGCCTGATTGCATGTTGGCCACTTTTAGCCATGGCTGGAGTGGCTGGGATGGACGGCACAAACTCCCTAGGCTGCACACAGCAGGAAGGCCCTGGGCCTGGCTCAGAAAACTATATTTCCCTTCTAAGCCTGAGGCCTGTGATGGGAGGTGCTGCCATGAAGGTCTCTGACATGCCCTGAAGATATTTTCCCTATTGTCTTGGTGATTAACATTTGGCTTCTCGTTACTTATGCAAATTTCTGCAGCAGGCTTGAATTATTCCCCAGAAAATGATTTTTTTCTTTTTTTATACTGCACTGTCAGCCTGTAAATTTTGTAAACTTTTAAACTGTTTTTTTTTTAAAAATACTTTGCCACTTAGAAATTTCTTCTGCCAGGTACCCTAAATAATATCTCTTAAGTTCAACGTTCCACAGAACTCTAGGGCAGGGGCAAAATGCTGCCAGTCCCTTTGCATAGCAAGAGTAACTTTTACTCCAGTTCCCAAGAATTTCTCCATCGCCATTTGAGACCACATCAGCCTAGACTTTATTGCCCATATCACTATCAGCATTTTGGTCAAAGCTATTCAACAAATCTGCAGGAAGTTCCAAGCTTTCCCACATCTTCCTTTCTTCTGAGCCCTCCAAGTCTCTAGGAAGTTCCAGACTTTCCCACATTTTCCTGTCTTCTTCTGAGCCCTCCAAACTGTTGAATCTCTGTCTGTTACCCAGTTGCAAAGTCGCTTCTACATTTTCAGGTGTCTTTATAGCAGCACCCCACTCTCAGTACCTATTTGCTCTATTAGTCTGTTTTCACGCTGCCAATAAAGACATACCTGAGACTGGGTAATTTAGAAAGAAAAATATGTTTAATGCACTCACAGTTCCACATGGCTGGGAAGGCCTCACAATCATGGCAGAAGGTGAAAGAGAAGCAAAGGCACGTGTTACAGGGGCAAGCAAGAGAGTGTGTTCAGGGGAACTGCCCTTTATAAAACCATCAAATCTCATGAGACTTATTCAGATATCATGAGGACAGCACAGAAAAAAGTTTGCCCCCATGATTCAATTACCTCCCACCGGGTTCCTACCATGAAACATGGGAAGTAGAGGAGCTACAATTCTAGGTGAAATTTGGTAGTGGACATAGCCAAACCACATCTATGTTTTATAGTTCTTATTTTAGAAAACTACTTTTTTGGTTAAGTTTATTCCTAGGCATTTAATTTTATGTGTGGCTATTGTAAACGGGATTACTTTTTAATTTTTCTTTTGTATTTTTCACTGTTTGCAGATAGAAACAGTGAAATTCAGGAAAGCTGAAGGATACAAAATTAACATATAAACAACAGTATGTTCCAACTTCTATTTTTATGACCTTGAGCAAGTCAAACACTATGTGCCTCAGTTTCTTCAAATGTAAAATAGGAAGAATAAGACTGCCAATTATTTTAATAGTTTTAAAAGAAGGATTAAGTATATTAATGTATACAAAATACTTGGAGAACCATCAGCCTCATTAATTGCTGTACATCAGTTTATTACTGATCATTGTAGTGATTATAATGAACCTCTTCTTTGTCATAACTTTTTGCCAGGTACTGAGTGTCTTACTTTTTTTTTAAATTTAATCCTCACAACATGTGTATGAAATGCTTACAATGATCTCCCCTAATAGAGGAATCATCTGAGTTTGGAGACAGTAAGAAACTTTCCTGGTATCAAATAGATTCTAAATGGTGGAGCCAGAATTTGATCCCAGGCATGAAACTTCAGAATGTTCATGCTTAAGAACTATGATACACATATTTATATGTCTAGACTTTGAATGCTGCATACAGAAAAGACCTTATCTAATTTTACACATAAACAATGCAGAAGATACAGAACACTGCAAAGAAGAAAATCAAAGTTATTCCATCATTGTAATAGTACATTATCTTCCAGACTTGGCATAGACATAGGCAGCTACACACTTAATGTCACGTGTTTTATTTTGTTGTATTTGTATACTATTCTATTAACCAAAACAATTCCCTTGAGTATGAGTATGGATTCATTTGGCAGGATGACTGGACCTCTAACAGCCACTGAAAACTGAGAAACTTCTTTGCTATAAAAGAAGAATCAGGATCCAGTTGTTATTATATATCCCTTAATCTTCATAGACCCATGAGTTGTTTTGAAGAGCACTTGACATCTCTTAGCAACTGTAGTTCATACATGTAAATCTTTCTGATGCTCTGGATTTATACTACAGCAAACCCATCCAGAAGGAGAGAGGCTAAAGTGTACTTAACTAGGGATTTGGGAAGAATAGGGCCAACTGGACAGCATTGGTTAAGTGCCAGAAGAAACACTAGTGTTTTCAGATACAGAGTGTGATGATTAACTTTATGTGTCAACTTGACTGGGCTATGGTGTGCCCAGATGTCAAACATATGGTTTACTCGCATGTTGTTGCAAATATTTGCATCTGTGTTCATTAAGGACATTGGCCCATAGTTTTCCATTTTTGTTTTGTCCTTGTCTGGTTTTGGCATCAGGGTAATGATGGCCTTGTAGAATGCATTTGGAAGAATTATTTCCTCTTCAATTTTCTGGAAGAATTTGAGACTTGGTATTAACTCTTCTTGAAATGTTTGGTAAAATTAATTTGTGAAGCCATCAGGTCCTAGGCTTTTCTTTTACAGGAGACTTTTTATTAATGATTCAATCTCCTTATTCATAATTGGTTTGTTAAGGTTTTCTATGTCTTCTTGGTTCAATCTTGGTAGACTGTATATGTCAGGAATTTATCCATTTCTTCTAGGTGTTCCAATTTGTTTTGTACATAGTTGTTCACAATAGTCTCTAATGATCCTTGGTATTTCTGTGGTATCAGTTGTAATGCCTCCTGAGAGGTACAGAGAGACAGGCTTACTCTTCTTTCAATCCACCTTCCCCGATTCTCACTGAAAGTTATGGGTTCTGAGAAAGTTGAAGCTTATGCAAGAGAGAAATGAACAATCTTTAGGGAATCAACATTGTTATGAGAATGCTCTCGTAACATGTTAGAGAAAAGTATCCAATATGAGGGCAGAAAAACAGAAGAATGACAGTCAGCATCTGGAATCATTCATGGCTGTCTTTGTGTAAGGAACCCATAAAGAGAATAAATAAGGAGAAAGTTTACTCAAAGTGTGTATTTTCTGATAAGCAAGCCAGTGACAATTAAGGTTATTGACTGTGATACTACTGTAAATATGATATATCTATATGTGGGATACTGAAATGTGGAACATGCATTAATAAGAATGTTGGGCAATGCATGGTGATACAATACCCCATTTCACTGCCTTATCTTTTTACTTAAAAAAAATAGCACTTTCTCATGTTATCAATTACTCTTCAACATATGTTTTAAACAATTACAGAATATATCATAATATCACTAAACTTAATCAATTTCATCCATTTCTAAATATAGTCAATGACAGTGTTATTAAATCAACCAGGTAAAAAAGAACCAATAATTAATTTTGTGATTAAATACAGACTCAATCAAACCATTAAAGAGACTTCCACAATAAGTCTTTCTTAGAAAGCAGAAACTATTTATTCCATAATGATGATTTTAAAGTAATAATTATCTTATGTTGTTGTTAGCCAATAGTGTAAAATAAAACAAACAAACAAACACAAGATTTATTGTGTCCAGGTATAGCAATCTGTCATGGATTTTGATATTATCAGATATTAGGAGATTAATTTGAGTTTTGTATTGATTTTGCCACTTCTGGCAGTTATTTTTCTTATTACATATAACTGAAAAAAATGTAATTTAAAAAATAAACCATAGGAAATATAGCCTAACAAGAAAAGGATACTGAAAGTAATCGATTATTACTAATATAAAATGTTTGTCACCTCTCTTTTGAGTAGCTAGGAACAAGTAGAGAGCTTGTTTCCCAATTAAAGAATCTAAGATCATTATTTTTGCACTCAGTACTGAAGAATAATTTCCCCTAGTTTGAGGACTATTCCAGCCCTGCCCAATCAATCTTAAAAACAATAACCTATAGGTTTAAATAATTTACAAGTAATGAAAATATGTAATTTTTAAAGAAACATTTTTAGAAATATAAAAATAATCAGCATACAACTACATTATATTGATAATGTCTGCCATACAATAAAACAAACAACAACAATAAAAAGAATCTAGCCTAGAAAAACCAGAAAAATACAATTCATAAGGCAATACATCAGTCAGTTGAAACCAATACAGAACTTACTTGGATGTTGGATTTTGTAGGCAAGTACATTAAAAAGATGATTATATCTTCATTCCATAGGTTCAATAATTAGAGAGATGTGGGAGATATAAAAAAAGACTTCTAGTATAAAGAATACAATATGTCTGATAAAGAATACAATAGATGGAATTAATAGAAGAGTATATATTTCCAAAGAAAAGATTAGTGAACTTTACACCATAGCAATAATACACATACGCATACACACACACACACACACACACACACACACGGAAAACAGGTGAATAAAATGAACAGGATATCGGCTGGGTGCCCTGGCTCACACTTGTAATCCCAGCACCTTGGGAGGCTGAGACGGGCAGATTACTTGAGGCCAGGAGTTTGAGACCAGCCTGGCCAACATGGTGAAAACCCGTCTCTACTAAAAATACAAAAACTTAGCCGGCCATGGTGGCAGGCTCCAGCTACTCGGAAGGCTGAGGCAGCAGAACTGCTTGAACCTGGGAGGCAGAAGTTGCGGTGAGCCGACATCGCGCCATTGCACTCCAGCCGGGGCGACAAGAGTGAAACTCTGCCTCAAAACAAATAAACAAGCAAACAAACAAACAAAAATCCCCCACGATATCAGTGAACTATGAAATACTTCAATCAGCTTAATATTTACAAAGCTAGGAAAAGGGAGTGGTTACAAAAAATATATATCCGAATATTTTAGACATTTATTAGAAATAGGAAGTGGTTACAAGAAAAACTATGTTTAAACATTTTTAAAAACTGAAAAACATGATTAACTCACAAATTCAGGAGGTTTATTGAACTCTAAGCAAGGGAGACATCAAGTCAGGGAAAAACAATATTACAGTAAAATTATTGTAGGAATCAATGAAAAAGAAGAGACTAGACCAAATTATTTCAACTACTAAAAGAAAAAAAAACAGCCTGCCAACCTAGAAACACATGTTCAGCAAAAATATGTTTCAGAAACAAAGATAAAATACACTCTCGGACCCAGAAAAGGTAAAAAAAAGTAATCACTATCAGACCTGAGCTGCATTAAATGTTAAAGAAATATCTTTAGGCAAAGATAACCTAAGAGTAGATTGAATATATTTCTATCCATATGAGTGACGAGCAGAGGAGATGGTAAATACAGCGGTAAATACACAAGATTTTTTCTTAATATTAAAATTCATTTTAAATATAGAGGAATAAGCAAAAATATAACAATGTAACTTGGTGTTATGAAAATATACAAATAAAATGTGTAACATCAATGGTCCAAAATTCAGAAGATGAAAAATCAAAATATACGAAGTAAAGTTCTTATATGTGAAGTGGTATATTATCTCTTGAAATTATAATATAACAAATTAGGGTATAAAAGTCCTTAAAGAAATTGCTAAAATAATAAAATTAGTAATTGTAGCCAATAAGCCAACAAAAGAAATAAATTATAATTATAATGGATATTCAATTAGTCTAGCAGAAGGCAAAAAAAGGAAAAATTACAAAAAACAGAAAAACAGGTGACGCAAACAGAGAGCAAATACCAATATATTGATATTGAATTCACACATGTTAATAATAACATTAGATGTGATTGGTCAAATTTCCCCAATTAAAGGTAGAAGTCAGATGAGATTAAAACAAAAAACCAAAATGATCTATCTGTTGACTGCAAGAAACACACTTCAAATCTAAAGAAGGAAATAGATTCAAAGTAAAATAATGGAAAAAGCATACCACACTAACACTAACTGAAAATAAGCTAGAAGGACTATATTAATATTAGACAAAATAGATTTTAATGCAAAAAATGTTGCCAGAAATAGAGATCATCAGTTTTGAATGAAAAGGTATCAATTGATAAGTACAACATAAAAATTCTGATTATGTACGTCATAACTAAATTTTAGTTTTTGAAGCAATAACTTACATAAATAATAAACCATGTAAGGAAATGTTCAATACTGTGAAAAAAATCAGTATCTATATGTTTATAATTGTTAGAACAAGTACACAGAAAATCAGTATAAGTATGCATGTATATTTGAACAGCAGTATCCACCAAGTTGACCTAATTGATATTCCTGAGCATGCCACTCACAAAAAGAAAATATATTTTTTAAGGGTACAGGGGACAAATATAGATAATTCTCTGAGCCATAAAATAAGCCTCCATACAATTAAAAGCATTTAATGAATGCAAAGTATTTCTCTGTTCACAATTAAATGAGAAATCAATAACATAAAGCTATCTAGAAATACTTCAAATAATTATAAATTAGCAAACTTCTAAATAACCCATGGGTCAAAGAAATATAAACAAAAATGTGAAAGAATTTTTAGAAGAGAAAATGAAAATAAGAAACTAACTGAAATTTTAGCGATGATTCTAAAGTAGTAGCTAAAGGAAAATGTATAGTATTTAGTTCCTATATTAGAAAACAAGGAAGATCCTAAATCGAAGACCTCAGCTTCTACTGCATAGCCCTTGGAAAAGAAGAACAAAAAATTAAAGAAGAAAAAACCCTCAAACAACCTAATGATGCATCTTAAAGAGCTAGAAAAGCAAGAGAAAATGAAACCCAACATTAGTAGAAGGAAAGAAATGGTAAAGATCCAGGCAAAAACAAATAAAATTGAAACAAAGACAAAGCTACAACAGATCAAAAAATTGAAAATTTGTTTCTTGAAAAGATAAACAAAATTCAGAAACTTTTAGCCAGACCAACTTAAAAAAAAAAAGACAGAACATCCAAATAAATAAAATCAGGGATGAAAAAGGAGTCGTTACAACTGATATCACAGAAATTCAAAGGATCATTAGAGATCACTGTGACCATACATATGCCAATAAACTATAAAACCTACAACAAATGGAGAAATTCCTAAACACACACAACCCACTAAGATTGAACCATGAACAAGTAAACAAAATCAAAGCTTTAATAAAATGTCTTCCACAATAGAAAGGCCCAGGACTTATTTTCTTCACAGCGGAATTTTACGCAACATTTAAAAAAGAACTGATGCCAATCCTACTGAAACTATTAAAAAAAAAAAAAAGAAGTAGACTAGGAGGTAGTATTGTAGTATTTTCAATCTCATTCTATAAGACCATTATTAGCCTAATATCAAATCAGGCAAAGACACATCCAAAAAAGAGCAAACTATCAACAGAAATAAGGACAAAAACAATATGATCATTTCAATTGTTGCTAAAAAAGCATTTGATAAGATTCAACATCCCTTTGTGATAAACTTCCCCCAAAAAGAAACTGGATAGAGAAAGAACATAACTCAACACAATAAAAGTCATATACAACAGACCCACAACAAGTATCATACTGAATGTTAAAAAATGGAAAGCCTGCCTCTGAGATCTGGATCACAACAAGGATGCCCACATTTACTACTGTTAGTAAACATATTAACAGAAGTCCTAGCTAAAGCAATCAGACAAGATAAAGACATAAAAGACATTCAAACTGGAAAGAAGGAAATCAAATTATGTTTATTTGCAGGTGATATGATCTTATATTCGGAAAAACCTAAAGACTCTAACAATATCTATCAGAACCGACAACCAAATTCAGAAAAGTTGAAGGATACAAAATTTACATACAAAAAACAGTATGTTCCAATATGTTTACACTGCAAATTCAATAGCAGTGTGATTGCATAGTCCATGATCTTATACATTTCCCTATTACACTTATAAACAGAAAAAGTGCTAAACTTATTTTTAATGGACTTGATAATAGATGTTCAATTCATTTCAATTCCTCAGTCATTGGAAAATAGTAAATAGGTAACTGTGCTAGGTCACTATGATGACTTCAAGGTGAATAAGGATGATTTCTTGTCCTTAAAGGTCATAGAAAAAAGCATAAAGTTGAGCAACAAAAATTAACTGATGTTATCAAAAAATAACATAGCCAAAATCTTTCATTTTGAATTATATGCTTATTATTAGAAGATTCAATAAAGATTTCCAAGTTTGATACTTGTTTGTATTAAATATGTATATCTTGACTCCTAATATTTTCTTAGTACAAATATTACTCTGAAGTTCACTCAATAGAAATAATTTAATATATTTCTCTTAATATCTATCTGCAGCTCAATTTCCCAATGTTTCTCTTGATCTCCTACAGAAACTGAACCCCTTTGTATTGATGCCAGTCCCATAAACAACTTACTCTAGTTTTTGCTTAAATTAATTGTGTTAGAAGATTCTTAAACTAGGGCACTGTTGAAACCTTTTGACATCTTTTGTGTATGTTTATCCAATTGTGATAAGATTGCATAGCAGTTAGGTAGGTGTTCCAAAACTGTATTTGAATTTACAAAATTATAGACTACCTTTTAAGGTCTAGATTATCTCATTGTTACCAATGTATATTTCACTTTATTTTACTGATCCTCTACTGAGCTGCTTTCACAAAGCAATTTGTAAAGTACAAACAAACATCCTGGGATTCTTATCCACAAGGAATACTTTCCAAGACACCCAAAAGGATGCCTGAAACCACAGATAGTATTGAACTCCATCTATCTTATGTTTTTTCCAATACATACATAACTATAATAAACTTTAACTTATAAATTAGTCACAGTAAAAGATTAACAATAACTTATAATAAACTAGAACAATTATAACAATATGTTTTAGTAAAAGTTACATGAATTTGATCTCTTTCTCTGTCTCTCTCTCTGCATCTCAAAATGTTTTATTTTATGTACTGTAGTAATCTATTTTCAGAACGCAGTTGATGGTGGAAAACTGAAACCACAAAAGCAAAATCTTGCGATAAGGGGAAATGGATTAGTCCATATTCACAGTGCTATACAGATACTACCTGAGGCTGTGTAATTTATAAATAAAAGAGGTTTAATTGACTCACAGTTCTGCTTGGCTGGGGGGGCCCCAGGAACATACAATCACGACGAAAGATGAAGGAGAAGCAAATGGCTTCTTCACAAGGCCAAAGGAGAGAGAGTGCACAGGGAAACTGCCGCTTTTAAAACCACCAGACCTTGTGAGAATTCCCTCACTATCAGGAGAACAGATGGGGGAAAATGCAAAACATGGAGATAACAATTCCAGGTGAGATTTGGGTGGGACACAGAGCCAAATCATATAAGGGGACTATTAATGGTGTAGAGTAGGTTATTTATTATCAATTATTAATTAATTAATAATTATTAATTATTATCAATGGTGTAGTGTATTTTAGTATTATGGATCTTTAAGGTGAAAAGTTTTGTATTTTGGGCAGGAATACTACAAAAGTAAATCTGTGTTCTTCTTAGTGCATCATATCTGGGTTTATAGTCTATTTGTCTCATGTATGGTAATGCTAACTTTGATCAAATTGATGACAAGGTAAGGACTCCTAGGTTTCTCCAGTGTAAAGTTATTTTTTTATTTGTAATTAAAATTACTTCTATAAGAAATGAATTCATTTTTTATATTGGTGGATATAGGCTATTTGGAAGATTTGTATATATTTGGTTTAAAAGGAGTGTCTGGACACAGAAAATTCCCTTGTAAATATTTTTATTATTCTTTCCTGTACAACACGAAAGGGAACTAACAGAGTTCTAGACTGATCTTGATCCACATCTCCTACTTTGTTAGGTATAACTACAAGATTCATTAAGCAATTATTAAAGCTTAATTTAATAGTATTTTTCTTTTTAGATTATTTTGATATGGCTTTAAGTAGAATTGTAATATTTTTATTATTTTTTAAAAATTCCATTTAGCTTTTAATTTTTAATTTTCTGGACACACAGTAGGTGCATATATTCATGCGGTACAGTACAAGAGACATATTGATACACACATGCAATGCCTAGTAATCACATCATGGTAAATGGGGTATCTATCACCTCAAGTATTAATCCTTTGTGTTATAATCTATCAAGTTTTAAACAGTTATGTTAAAATATACTATGTAATTATTGACTACAGTCACACTGTTTTGCTATCAAATACTAGGTTTTTTTTTTATTCTTTCTAATTATATTGTTTATGCCCATTAACCATACCCACTTCTCTCCCATTCTTGTACTACCCTTCCCAACCTCTGGTAACTATCATTCTACTGTCTATCTCCATGAGATTAACTGTTTTATTTTTTTTGGCTCCCACAAATAAGCAAGAACATATGAAGTTTGTCTTTCTGTGCCTGGATTATTTCCCTTAACCTAATGACCTCCAGTTACATACATGCTATTGCATATGAATGGATCTGTTTTTATGGCTGAATAGTACTCTATTGTTTATAAGTACCACATTTTCTTTATCTATTCTGCTGAACACAAGTTGCTTTCAAATCTTGGCTATTGTGAAGTGTTTCAATAAACATAGTAGTACAGATATATCTTCAATATGCTGATTTACTTTCTTTTGGATATATACCTAGCAGTGGGATAGCTGGATAGTATGGTAGCTCTATTTTTAGCTTTTTGAAAAACCTCTATACTGTTCTCCATAGTGGATGCAGTAATTTACATTTCCACCAACAGTGTACAAGGTTTTCACTTTCTCCACATCCTTGCTACCATTTGTTGTTGCCTGTCTTTTGGATATATGCCATTTTAACTGTTGTAAGATGATATCTCATTGTAGTTTTTATTTGTATTTCTCTGATGATCAATGATATTGAGCACCGTTTCATATATCTGTTTGCCATTTGCATGTCTTCTTTTGAGAAATGTATACTCAGGTCCTTTGCCCTTTTTATAATTGGATTATTAGATTTTTTGCTATTGAATTGTTTGAGCTTCTTATATGTTGTGCTTATTGATCCCTTGTCAGATAGGTAGTTTGCAAATATTTCCTCCCATTCTATGAGTTGTCTCTTCACTTTGTGGATAGTTTCCTTTGTTTTCCAGAAAGTTTTTAAGTTCATATGATCCCGTGTGTCAATTTTTGCTTGTTGCCTGTGCTACAGGGGATATTACCAAGAAACCTTAGCAAAATCCAGTGTCCTAGAGAGTTTTGCCAATGTTTCTGTTTAGTAGTTTCATAATTTTAGGTCTTAGATCTAAGTTCTTAATCCATTTTTATTTGATTTTTGTATATGGCAAAAGAGAGGAGTCTAGGTTTCATTCTACCACATATGAACATCTAGTTTTCCCAGCACTATTTATTGAAAAAAACTGTTCCTTCTCCAATATATGTTTATGGCATCTTTGTAAAAGAAAGAGTTTACTGTAGATGTATGAATTTGTTTCTTGGTTCTCTATTCTGTTCCTTTAGTTGGTGTGTCTGTTTTTATGTCAGTACCATGCTGTTTTGGTTACTATAGCTCTGTACTATAATTTGAAGTCAGGTAATGTGATTCCTCCAGTTTTGTTCTTTTTGCTCAGGATAGCTAGGGCTCTTCTGGTACTTTTGTACCCCATACACATTTTAGGATAGTTTAATTTCTGTGAAGAATGTTGGTATTTTGATAGAGATTGCATTGAATCTGTACACTGCTTTGGGTAGTTCAGACATTTTAACAATATTGATTTTTTTCAATCCATGAACATGGAATAGTTTTCCATTTTTGGTGTCTTCTTTAAGTTCTTTAATCAATGTTTTTTCTCTCTTTTTTTAACTTTTATTTTAGGTTTGGGGGTACATGTGAGATTTTGTTACATAGGTAAATTCATGTTGTTCTACAAATTATTTCATCACCCAGGTATTAAGCCCAGTAGCCAATAGTTATTTATTCTTCTTCTCTCCCCCTTCCCAGCCTCCTCCATCAAGAAGACCCCAGTATCTGTTATTTCCTTTTTTGTGTTCATAGGTTCTCATCATTTAGCTTCAATTTATAAGTAAGAACATACAATATTTGGTTTTCTTTTCCTGTGTAAGTTTGCTAAGAATAGTAGCCTCCAGCTTCATCCATGTTCCCACAAAGGACATGATCTTATTCTTTTTTATGACTGCATAGTATATTCTATGGTGTATATGTACCACGTTTTCTTCATCAGTTACAGCAACACCCACATGCAAAGATGAGAAAGAACAAACAAAAGAACTCTGGTAACTCAAATGTCCAGAGTGTCATGTCTTCTAAATTACCATACCAGTTTTCCAACAAGAGTTCTTAACCAGGCTGAGCTGGCTGGAATGACAGAAATAGAATTTAGAATATGGATAGAAAAAAAAATAATCAAAATTCAGGAAGGTAAAAAAAAAATGAATCCAAGGAAACTGAAAATTACAAAAAAGCAGTATAGGAGCTGAAGGACAAAATAGTCAGTATAAAAGAACCTTACAGAGCTGACAGAGCTGAACAACACAAGAATTCCACAATGCAATTACAAGTTTTAACAATAGAACAGATCAAACTGGGGAAAGAATCTCAGAACTTGAAGACTGGCTCTTTGAAATAAAACAGTCAGTCAAAAATAAAGAAATTTTGAATTTAAAGAAAATAAGAATAAAAAGGAATGAACAAAACCTCCAAGAAGTATGGAATTTTATAGAGATCAACCCTACAAATCATTGGCATCCCTGAAAGGGAGGGGGAGAAAGCAAACAACTTGAAAAACATATTTTAAAGTATTGTCTATGAAAACTTCCCCAACCTTGCTAGAGAGGCCAACAGTAAAATTCAGGAAATACAGAGAACTCCTGCCAGACTCTACACAAGGTTATCCCCAAGATACATAATCATCAGATTTTCCAAGGTCAAAATGAAAGAATGTTAAAGAAAGCTTTGAATAAACTTTCTGCCCCTGTCTCTCTCGCTACCTCCTCTTTAAGGCCAATAACTGCTAGATTTGTCCTTTCCCATGCTATTTTTGAGATCCTGTAGGTGTGTTTTATTTTTTTTTCTTTTTTCTCCTGGACTATGTATTTTCAAACAGGCTGTTTTCAAGCTCACTAAGTCTTTTTCCGCTTGATCCATTCTGCTACTGAAAGACTTTGATGCATTCTTCAGTATTGTCAACTGCATTTTTCAACTTTAAAATTTCTGCTAATTTCTGTTTAATTACTTTAATCTCATTTAAAAATTTATGTGATAGGATTCTGAATTCCATCTCTGTGTTATCTTGAGTTTCATTGTAATTTCTCAACACAGCTATTTTGAATTCTCTGTCTGAAAGGTTGTATATCTTTTTATCTCCAGAATTGGTCCCTGTTTCCTTATGTATTTCATTTGGTGAGATCATGTTTTCCTGATTTTCTTGATGCTGGTGGGTGTTTGTCGTTGTCTGAGCATTTAAGAGTTAGGTATTGACTATAGTTTCTGCAGATTGGGCTTATTTGTACCCTTCTTTCTTAGAAAGGCTTCCCATGCATTCAAAGGGATTTGGGTGTAATCTGTATTAGTCCATTCTCACACTGGTATAAAGACATATCCGACACTGGGCAATTCTTGAAGAAAAGAGATTTAATTGACTTACAGTTCCACAAGCTGTACAGAAAGCATGGCTGGGTAGGCCTTAGGAAATTTACAATCATTGTGGAAGGGGAAGCCAGTACATCCTACATGACTGTTGCAGGAGAAAAAGAGAGAGATGGGGGAGGTGCTACACACTTTCAGTCAACCAGATCTCATCAGATCTCTATCACAAAAATAGCGATCACCTCCCACTAGGCCCCTTCTCCACACTGGGAACTACAATTCAATAGGAGATTTTGGTGGGGAAACAGAACCAAACCATATATCAGGATCTATGCCTTATCTTCATTAGACGGTACCTCAAGCCCAGTAACACTGTTGTTTTTGTGGACTAACAGAGGTATTGCCTTTGTGATATTGAGTAAGATTCAAAATAATTCTCTGGTTTACCAGGCAGATACTCTTATTCCCTTCCCTTATTTTCTCCCAAACAAAAAGAGTCTTTCTCTCACTCTCTATCTGCTGAGCCACCTAGAGCAGGGGGTACGGTAAGACAAGCACCCCTTTAACCACTACCACTGGTAATGTGTTGGGTCAGACCTGAAGCTAGCACAGCAGTTGGGCTCACTCAAGGCCCACTGTAATCACTCCCTGGCTGCCATCTATGTATACTCAAGGCCCTCAAGCTCTGCAGTCAGCATGTGGTGAAGCCAGCCAGGCTTGTGTTCTTCCCTTAGAGGTGGCAAGTTTCCCCAGGCCCTAGGCAGTTCCAGAGATGCTGTGCTGGAGCAAGGGCCTGGTGTCAAAAGTCTTAGAAATTCATATGGTGCTTTATACTACTGTGGCTAAGCTGACACTCAAATCACAAGAAAAAGTTCCTCCCACTCTTCTATCCCCTTTCCAAAGGCAGAGGAGCCTCCCCCATGACTGCCACAACAGCAGGACTATAGAGAGTACTGCCAGGCTACCCCTGATGTTTCCTTAATGCCCAAGGGCATTTAAGTCAGCTTATGGTGAATGCTGCCAGGCTTGAGTCTCCCCGTTCAGGGAAGTGGGATCCCCTCTGGCCCAGTGTAGGTCCAGAAATGCCATTCAAGAGACAAGGCCTGGAATTAAGTGCCCCAAGAACACATTTGGTGCTCTACCCTGCTGTGGCCAAGGTGGTACCTAAGATGCAAAAAATCCTCTTTACTTTTCTCTCTGCTTTTCTCAAGCAGATGGAGTTCTCTCACCTTAGCCTGAGGGCTCTTTAGTCAGCAGGTAATAAATCGTGTCTGTAGTACTGGATTTTTCCTTCAAGACAGCGAGTTCCCTTCTGGCCCACAGTATGTCTAGAAATGTCATCCAGAAACTAGGGCCTGGAACAAGGGCCTCAAGACTCTGCCTAGTGCTTTCTCTTACTGTGGCTAAGCGGGTATCCAAGATGCAAGACAAAGCTCTCTTTACTCTTCCCGCGCCTCTACTCAAGCAGAAGATAAGTCATTTTTTTCAGTGCTACAAGCTGTGTTGCCTGGGGCTGGGTGGAGGGGCGGTGCAAGCACTCCCTTAGCCTCCCTGACTGGCATTTCACGAGGTCATGTGTCCTCTATGTCCACTGGCTCTGAGCCCAGCACAGCACTAGAACTTGCCTAGGAATTGCAGTCCTTGTGATTTAGACTGCCTTTTAAGTTTATTTAGAACCCCAAAGCCCTTTAGCCTATGGTAACAAGGCTTTCTGGAATAAAAAACCACTGGGATGGGTGATTCCCCTTTGGCTTGGGGTAGTCTACACACTCCTTCTGTGGGTGGGTGTCAGCTGAATTCATCTGGTTTTGCCTTCTACTATGATAGGGTAGCACTGAGTTCAATGCATATTCCCACAGGCATTGCTCACTTCCTCCCTGAAAAGCTGAGATTCCCTCTTCATGCCACACATCCACTGCCAGAACATGGAGAAGGGGTAGTGTCAGCAACTCAAGACTGTCTTTCCTAATGTCTTCAGTGCTTCTCTCAGTGATATGAAGTTAAAACCAGGACTGTGATTGCTCACTTGATTTTTTATTCTTATGAAATTGCTTTTTTGTCTAGATATCAACTTTGATGTTCCTGTTTGGGGTTGGGGGACAATAAGTAAGGGCTTCTATTCAGCTGTTACCTTTCCCTTAACTAGAAATTTAGTTGAGATCAACCACGTCTATCTTGATAATTTCTGAAAATATTTTCTAGGGCTAAACATCTTCCTGTAATGGTAAAAGCAAATTTTCTTATTTTTTCTTTCAAAACATATACTTTATTTTGATATTTTTAAGGAGGCAATATCTCAGTTCATTTTCATGGTGGAGATGAGTTATAGTCCTGAGTTCAATAAATAATTAAGCATTTACTAAAGAAGCTTCATCTATTTCTCCAGCTTTTTCATATTGACTCACCCATCTGGCAACTTTTTACTAATATCAAAATCGCTCTGCACACAAAAATAATCCTTTCCTCACAAGAAACTGCAAAGTTGTGAAAACAGAAATAATGCATTTCCACTATAAAAAACCAAAACACCGTTATTAAATACTGACATGTAATCCTTTCTAGAGTAGTTGTATTAAGGCAACATATATCATATTCTGATTGAAGTATATTTTATAAGAGCACCATTCATAAAGGGTGAGCACTGTGTCACTTGACAGATATGTATGTTCTGGGCACTGGAGCCATCACAATAATGACATTTGTGGCTCTTTGTCAGAAAGCTTATCTTTCGCATTTCATGAAGACAGTGAACGTTTCTTTAATTATAGCTTCTCCCATACTACTCATTAATAGAAAAGTAGATGATTCACTAAATATGAATAGAAAATAAGCAATATATGCTTCTTATATTAACTTCCAATTATTTATCAAAGAGTTATCTGAAAAACTCACATATAGCTAAGAAACACCTGTCCTCGTCCTGTCCAAAATTATTTAGTTTTTGTTTAATATCCTTAATTTATATGCCATTGAGAGTCTTCTATTCATATGTATCTTACTGCCTTATATACTTCTGAAATTTGGACACAAGGCCTAAATATCTATCTCACATGCTCCAAGGTTTCATTTCACTTTAATCCTTCTCTTTAGTTTAACAACTTACGTCCTCCCATTGAATTTTCAATTGTCTCTTCTTTTCAGTCTCAGTCTACTCACTGCTCTGGATAACTCCCACATCCTATTCAAACTTCTCAGACCAGACCATAAGAACTATATGTGGTCTTCTGCCTGACAGAAGTATTTAGACATTCTCTAGTCCCTCAGTAGTGATTCAACCCCTTATTTTCCCTTTCTATACATATACTCTAGACCCGAGTACTTTCTATTCCATTAATATAAGAAATTAGTGAATTATCTTGATATAAATAATTTAGTTTTCTAAAAAATTCCACTTATTTTCTGATTTAAACATTTTGAACTACTAGAGTATACAGCGATTAGCGTCTATCAGAATAAGGAAACACTATTATAGCTCCCTAGTTTACTGGCAACATGTACATTAAATGTGCTTATGAGCATTTTAAAACATCCTGAAGCAATATTCTGTAAGAAAACTCTAGGAATTCTGCCAAATATTTTGTGATTTGGCTGATATTCAAGAACTTTATGGGGCACAATTTTATTACCCCATTCTGCATGACATTGATTTGCCTTTGAACTCAACTAAAGTCCATTACTCCATAACTCAAGTTAATGGGTATATAGATAGGAAATTTCCTTACCACAGCAGTATTTCTCTCAATATTTTTTATTTATTAAATTTATTAGATGCTCAAAATCAATCAATTTCTAGGAGCACTTCAGAGAGTAATAAAGGATGATACTGAAATGTATACATTTCTGCAAATCCAGTATGAAACAGAGTTTCAAGAGAGATTTCCATGTAATAGAGGCCACAGAATTTATCTTGCTTCTCTGGATTTCTGTAATTTTTTAATTGCCTATAATACTTTGTTCAAAAAATTCAATAATTTTAAAATGTAGTGATGATAAATGACTTTTATACCAGATATTTACTTATTCAATAAATAACTAAAAGTCTTAGTACAGTACTTCACATGCACAGAGTCTGGTATAATTTTGATTGGTTTATAATGGAACTACTTTTTAATGTACTACCTGGAATAGCACATTTGACAAAGAAAGAAATTTAATCCTAGATAGCTGAACAATGAGCTATCAATGAATAATTGAGAGCTTTAAAATGATTCCCCTCACTCAAATATTCACATGTGGATGTTGAGTCACTAATCAAAGCCATGGTTCTGCAAAGGAACTAAATTACATCAAAAGACAGTCACAGCTGATATCCCAAGGGATTAGCAAAGAGTCCATCTACAGCCCAACTAATCCACCCCTAGATAACATGCCTAAGATCCAAATACTCTTTTAGAAATCCAAATTGCATGTCCTTGTACACAGCACACTACATTGCATTTTAGCTAACAGAAGATAAAGACAGTGGAAGAGGAGAAGAAGAAAATGAATTTTTCATATTGAACATACCCATGTAATCATCCCATGATTAAGAAAAGAATGTTACTATCCCTCAAGTGCCTCCTTTTTGAGTACCTCCCTCTCTCACCACCAGCCACTAGGATAATCACTATTCTGATTTCTAACATAGATTAGTTTACCTGATTGTACTCTTCATATAAAGGGGATCATAAAATGTAGTTTCATGTCTGGCTTCTTTTACTTATTATTATGTTTATGAAATTCAATTCTATTGCTGCACATAGTGAATTTTCCATTCCATTTGTTATATATCATTATATTCTAGACAGATGTGCCATAATTTGTCTAATATATTGTTGATATTAACATATTATGTTGCTATGAAGATTTGATATTTTACCAGATTTTTCAATTTTTACTTTGGAAATTTCTTTGAGTATATACCTGGATTTTAATTTCCAGACTATAAAGTGTGCACATGTCCATCTTTACTAGATACTGGCCAACAGTTATTTGAAGAATTTATGATCTCACCAGCAATGTATGAGAATTTAAATTTGTATACATCATCAAAACATTTGAATTTATTGTCTATTTTTTAATTTAGTCAGGCTGGTGGGTGTGTAGTGCTAGCAAATGAAGTTTTAATTTGCATTTCTTTGATGTCTATATAGAGTGACTTTTCATGTTATTCAGCCACTTGAATATGATTTTATGCGAAAAGCTTTTAAAAGATCGTATACTTAGCAAATGTTTCTTTTGTGTTTTCTCTGACTTTCTGATTTGTGGGAGTTTTAAAAATATACTAAATATAGTAGTTATATGTTAGATACACTATGAAAACATCTCTCATATGGTTTGTACTTTATGCTTTTATTTCTATTATTTGATGAAAAGCAGTTCTTAATATTAATTTATTTCAACACATCTTTATTATCAATAGCACTATTAAAATTCTGTTTAAGATATATTTAACTGTCTTAGTTATGAAGTAGCATTCATTTGTTTTCTTATAAATGATTTGTTTATATTTAATAATTAGACATGAAATCTGTCGTAGTTTGTCTTTCATTCTTTGTGCTTTTGTTGGTACATAGAATGCAAATTTTTATACCAGTGTTGCATGTATGATGATGCCAAATTCACTGTTATTCCTAATAGTCTATCTTTGATGGCAAAATCAATATAAGAAGGTGCTGAACATTAATATTGATTAGGAAAAATGCAGAATATTCCATAATGGTCACATATTGACTAGAAAGCTCAAATTAAATAACAACAACACTGACCATATCACATTTTGGTGAGTATTTGGAGCAATTAGAATTTACACATACCTGTCATGAGAATGTAACATGGTACAGTTCATTTGGAAAAGAATTTGGAAGTTTCTCAAAAAGGTAAACATGTATGTGCACTGTAGCTCAACCATATCATTTTCAGATATCTACCCAAGAGATATGTGACCATATGTAGAAGGGAAATGTATGGCAAAAAGCAAATACCAGGTAAAGGGAGAGGGACACGTATGGTTGTATACTTATCCGATGTATGAAGTGATGCAATATTATCTGAACATTGAATATGATCATTAAGACATACTGTAAACCCTAAAATAATTACTAAATCTTATGTCATAATTATCATATTATATAAACGTATACTTGTATGTTTTCTAGGTTAAAGAAAAACCTTTGGGAAACGTATGTTTGGAAAATTGAGACTTATTTTTTATGTAAAATAACCTTGAGGTTTAATTTACATAAAATTCACCTAATGTAATGTACAGTTCTATGAGTTTTCACAAGCATATAGAGTCGTGTACACCAAGCAATAATAAAGATATAGAACCTTCTATCGCAAAAAAAATTTCTCGATATCCCATTGTTGTCAACCCCTTTCTTCATGCAAAATTCATGTCTGAAATTTATTTGTTTCTTGTTCATTAATTTTTTTCTTTTCCATATTTATCAAACACACACAAACACACGCAAACATTTACATAGAAGTTTTTGGGTAAACATATGTTTTCAATTATCTTCCATAAACAGCTTGTTGTGGAATTGATGGTTCAGGTGATAAGTATATGTTTCACTTGGTAACAAACTTCCAAAATGCATTTTAAAGAGGCTGCATCAGTTTGCATCCCCATCAATCGTGTATGAATATTTAATTCACATCTTCACTAGCATTTGTATTTCCAGGTATTTGCTTGTTTTGTTCGTTTTCCATTCCAGTAGCTATGCAGTGGTATCTAATTGTGATTTAACGTACATGTCCTTAAGGACTAAGGATGTTGAGCACGTTTTCTTTCCTTTTATTTTTACTTGATATGTATTAATTGTACACATTTATGGAACACAGGGTGATATTTTTGTGTACAACGTGTACTGATCAAATCAGGGTAATTAGCATATCCATCACCTCAAACCTTGGTTATTTCTTTGTGTTGTGAACATTTAAAATTCTCTCCTTTAAGTTTTAAGAACATAACAACAAATTGTAGTCAACTATATTCACCCTACAGGGATGCAGTACAACTGAACTACTTTCTTTCTAATCCCCTAACACTTGATACCTGTTAAACAACTTCTCCCCATTCTTCCCTCCCTCTACCCTCCCCAGCTACTAAAACCCACAATTTTACTCTGTACTTTCTTTTTGTTTTGTTTTTTTTTTTTTTGAGACGGAGTGTCGCTCTTTCGCCCAGGCCGGACTGCAGTGGCGCTATCTCAGCTCACTGCAAGCTCTGCCGCCCAGGTTCACGCCATACTCCTCCGGAGTAGCTGGGACTACAGGCGCCCACCACCGCGCCCGGCTAATTTTTTGTATTTTTAGTAGAGACGGGGTTTCACCGTGTTAGCCAGGATGGTCTTGATCTCCTGACCTCATGATCTGCCCGCCTCGGCCTCCCAAAGTGCTGGGATTACAGGCGTGAGCCACCGCGCCCGGCTTACTCTGTACTTTCATGAGCTGAAGTTTGTTTTTTTTAATTTTTAGTGAAAATATGTGCTATTCTCTTTCTGTGCCTCAGATGTGTGTGTGTGTGTGTGTGTGTGTGTGTGTGTGTGTGTGTATTAGTCCATATTCACGCTGCTAATAAAGACGTACTTGAGACTGGGAAGGAAAAGAGGTTTAACTTGACTTACAGTTTGACATGGCTGGAAAGGCCTCAGAATCACGGCGGGAGGCGAAAGTCGCTTCTTCCATGGTAGCAGCAAGAGAAAATGAGGACGAAACAATAGCGGAAACCCCTGATAAACCCATCAGATCTCGCGAGACTTATTCACTATCAGGAGAACAGCACAGGAAAGACCGGCCCTCATGATTCAATTACCTCTCCCTGGGGTACTGCCTTCCCAACAATCACCGTTAAGTCTTAACTCATTTCTGCATTAACCCAAAAGCCTGAAGTCCAAAGTCTCTGAGACGATGCAAGTCCCTTCTACCTATGAGCCTGTAAAATCAAAAACAAGCTAGTTACTTCCTAGACACAACAGCCATTTCAAATGGGAGAAATTGGCCCCAAAAAAGGGGTTACAGGGCCCATGCAAGTCCAAAATCCAGTGGGGCAGTCAAATTTTAAAGCTCCAAAATTATCTCCTTTTTCTCCAGGTCTCACATTCAGGTCACGCTGATGCAAGAGGTGGGTTCCCACGGTCTTGGGCAGCTCCGCCCCTGTGGCTCTGCAGGGTACAGTCTCCCTCCTGGCTGCTTTAACGGCTGGCTTTGAGTGTCTGCAGCTTTTCCAGGTGCAAAGTGCAAGCTATCGGGGAATCTACCATTCTGGGATCTGAAGGACGGTAGTCCTCTTCTCACAGCTCCACTAGGCAGTGCTGCAGTAGGGACTCTACGTGGGGTATCCAACCCCACATTTCCTTTCACATTGCCCTAGAAGAGGTTCTCTATGAGCGCCCCGCCCCTGCAGCAAACTTTTGCCTGGGAATCTAGGCATTTCCATACATCTGCTGAAATCTAGGCAGAAATTCCCAAACCTTAATTCTTGACTTCTGTGCACCCTCAGGATCAACACCATGTGGAAGCTGCCAAGGCTTGGCAGCTTCCACCCTCTGAAGCCAGCCTGAGCTGGACATTGGCCCTTTTCAGCCAGTGCTGGAGCAGCTGGGACACAGGGCATCTAGTCCTCAGGCTGCACACAGCATGGGGACCCTGAGCCTGGCCCACAAAATTACTTTTTTCTCCTGGGCCTCTGGGCCTGTTACAGGAGGGGCTTCCATGAAGGTCTCTGACGTGGCCTGGAGACATTTTCCCCATGGTCTTGGGAATTCATTCACATTTGGCTCCTTGCTGCTTATACAAATTTCTGAAGCCAGCTTAAATTTCTCCTCAGAAAATGGGTTTTTCTTTTCTATCAAATAGGCTGCAAATTTTCCAAACTTTTATGCTCTGCTTCCCTTATAAAACTGAGTATCTTTAACAGTACCCAAGTCACCTCTTGAATGCTTTGTTGCCTCTGCAAGATACCCTAAATCTGGCAGAATGCTTCTGCCAGATACCCTAAATCATCTCTCTCAAGTTCAAAGTTCCACAAATCTCTAGGGCATGGGCAAAATGCTGCCAGTCTCTTTGCTTAAACATAACAAGAGTCACCTTGGCTCCAATTCTCAATAAGTTCCTCACCTCCATCTGAGACCACCTCAGCCTGGACCTTATTGTCCATATCACTATCAGACTTTTGGGCAAAGCCATTCAATAATTATGTAGGAAGTTCCAACCTTTCCCACATTTTCCTGTCTTCTTCTGAGCCCTCCAAACTGTTTCAACCTCTGCCTGTTACCCAGTTCCAACGTCACTTCCAAATTTTTGGGTATCTTTTCGGCAGTGTCCCACTCTACTGGTACCAATTTGCAGTACTGGTCTGTATTTACGTTGCTGATAAAGACATACTCAAGATTGGGAAGAAAAAGAAGTTTAATTGGACTTACAGTTCTACATTGCTAGGGAGGCCTCAGAACCATGACAGCAGAAACAGAAAATGAGGAAGAAAAGTGAAAACCCCTGATAAACCCATCATATCTCATGTGACATTCACTATTGCAAAAATAGCACGGGAAAGACTGGCCCCCATGATTCAATTACCTCCCACTGAGTACCTCCCACAACATGTGGGAATTCTGGGAGATACAATTCAAGTTGAGAATGGGATGGGGACACAGCCAAACCATATCAATGTGTGTGTGTGTATTTCTTTGTCATATATATGTATATGTTTCTTATATTATATATACACATTATTCATTTATCTGTTGATGGAAATTTGGGTTAATCCCATATCTTAGCTATTGTGAATAGTACTATATTAAATATGGGGTTACAGATGACCATTTGACATACTGATTTCTTTTTCTCTGGATAAATATCCAGTAGTGGGATTGCTAGATCATATGGTAGCTCTATTGTTAATTTTTTGAGAAATCTTCACACGTTTTTTTATATGGCTGTACTAATCTACATTCCCATGTACAATGTGAGCTCCCTTTTCTCTGCACCATTGCCAGAATTAGTTATTTTCTGTCTTCTTTATAATAGCCATTTTACCTGAGGTGAGCTATTTCATTGAGGTTTTGATTTGCATTTCCTTGATGATTATTGATGACAAATATTTTTTCAGATATATTTTGGCCATTTGTATGTCTTCTCTTGAGAAATATCTCTTCAGACATTTCACTCTTTGCCCACTTTTTTATTAGATTATTTGTTTGGGAGTTTCTGGTTTATTTTTTATGATTTCTTATGACTTTTTGCACTTTTAAGTTCAGGAGTACATATGCTGATTTGTTACATAGGTTAACTTGTGTCATGTGAGTTTGTTGTACAGATTATTTCATCGCCCAGGTATTCAGCCTAGTACCCATTAGTTACTTTTCCTGATCCTCTCCCTGCTCGCACTCTCCACCCTCCAAAGACCCCAGTGGTGTTGTTCCTCTCTCTGTGTCTGTGTGTTCTCATCATTTAACTCCCACTTATAAGTGAGACATGCAGTATTTGGTTTTCTATTGCTGCATTAATTTGTTAAGGATAATGGCCTCCAGCTCCAACCATGTCTCCACAAAGGACATGATCGCCTTCATTTTTATGGCTGCATAGTAGTCCATGATATATATGTACCACAGTTTCTTTATCAATTCTATCACCGATAGGCATTTAGGTTGATTCCGTGTCTTTGCTATAGTGAATAGGGCTGCAATGAATATATGCATGCATGTGTCTTTATAATAGAATGATTTATATTCCTCTGGGTATTTACCCAGTAATGGGATTGCTGGGTTGAATGGTATTTCTTTCTTTAGGTCTTTGAGGAATTGCCGCACTGTCTTTCTCAATGGTTGAACTAATTTATACTCCCATCAACAGTACACAAGCATTCTTTTTCTTCCGCAACCTCTCAAGCATCTGTTGTTTTTTGACTTTTTAATGATAGCCATTCTGAGTAGTGTGAGACAGTATCTCATTGTTGTTTTGATTTGCGTTTCTCTAATGATCAGTGATTTTGAGGTTTTATTCATATGATTGTTGGCCACACATGTGTCTTCTTTTGAAAAGTGTTCATGTCCTTTGCCCATTTTTTAATGGGGTTGTTTGTATTTTTATTTCTTTTTTTTTTTTTTTGGTATTGAGTTGCTTGAGTTTCTTTTATATCTTGCATATGAGTCTTCACAGATAAATAGTTTGCAAATATTTTCTCCGAATCCAAATGTTATCTCTTCACTCTGTTGATTATGTCCCTTTCTGGGCAGAAGCATTTTCATTTAATATAGTCCCATTTATCTATATTTATCTATATCTATATATCTATAGCCAAGACTTCAAAATCCCCTGTGATTTTTGAAGTCTTGGCTATAACATTTTTACCTAGATTGACTTTTGGAAGTATTTCTCCTAGTTTCTTCTGGGAGTTTTATAGTTTGGGTTATTACTTTTAAGTTTTGAATCCATTTTGGGTTGATTCTTGTGTATGATGGTAAATAGGTATCTAGTTTCATTTATTTGCATATAAATATCCAGTTTTCCTAGCACCGTTTATTGAAGGGGGTGTCTTTCTCCATTGCATGTTCTTAGCAACTTTGACAAAAAACAATTGGCTGTAAATATATGAATTTGTTTCTGGGTTCTCCATTGTGTTTCAATGGTCTATTTGTCTGTTTTAATGCCAGTACCATGTTGTTTTGGTTACTATACCTCTGTAGTATATTTTGAAGTTAGGTAGTGTAATATCTGCAGCTTCTTTTTCCCCCTCAAGATTGCTTTGGCTGATTAGGGTCTTTTGTAGTTCTATACAAATGTTAGGATTTTTTTTTCTATTTCTGTGAAGACTGCCATTGATATTTTATAGGGATTACATTGAATCTTTAGACTACTTTAAGTAATATGGTCATTTGAACAATGGTAATTCTTCTAATCCATGAGAATTTGATGTCTTCTTTTGTTCCTTCAATTTTTTTCATTAATGTTTTGTAGTTTTCATTGTAGAGCTCTTTCACCTATTTATTTACATTTATTCCCAGGCATTTTTTAATTTTTTGTAACCATTGTAAATTAGGCTGCTTTTTCTTATTTCTTTATCTTGATACTTTCTTAGTAAATTGAATGATTGAATGCTTTGCCTATGTTTTTTGATAATTTGTGTTTATATAATCAAGCTTGAAAATTCTGTATATATTCTAGATGTAAATACTTTATCAAACATATTTTTTGAAATGTTTTATCCAAATATATGTTCAGTGTTTTAATTATCTTAACATTCCCTTTTTAAGAGCAGACATTTTAAAAATTCAAGGCAATTATATATATGTAATATATATAAATGTGTGTGTATATATGTGTGTGTGTGTGTGTGTGTGTGTGTATATATATATATATATATAAAACATGTACTGATGCCTGCTCTTGTATTCATGATAATCATAATCTTTGACTTCCATTTTTATCTTGATTGGCCTGGAAAGAAGTTTTCATTTTTATTTAACTTATTAAGAAATAACTTTTAATTTTATTGATTTTATTAAATTTCATTGTCAATGATATTGACCTTTGTTTTTCTTACCATTTTTATATACTCCTCTTGATTTATTTTACTACTCTATTTGCATTTTCTTTGGGGAAAACTTAAACCATTGATGTAATTTTTTTTCCTTTTAAATGTAAGTATTTCAGCACTATAAGTTTTCTTCTAAGCACTATCATGCATCTCACATAATTTAATATATCCTGTTTTTATTTTATTCTTTAGTTCATAATGCTTTATTTTTCATTTTATTTCTTCTATAACCCATGGGCTATACACAAAGATGTTGGCTTCTTTCAAAATGTTTAGGAGATGTCTTATCTCTTTCTCTTCTAGATTTATAATTTAATCATAGCCAAGAAACACATTTGTAATAATATAAAAACTTCTATAATTATTATCATCTATTTTATCATCCAGATTATGATCTATTTTGGTTAATGCTTTGTATGCACTTGAAAAGTAATAAATATTCGGCTGTGGTTGGATGAGTATTTTCTAAAGATCTTTTACAGATGACCCCAGACTTAGAATGGTTCGACTTACAACTTTTTGACTTTATGACAGTGTGAAAGTGAAATCCATCAGCAGAAACCAAACTTCAGTGCAACATTCAATAAATTACATGAGACAGTCAACATTTTATTATAAATAGTCTTTTTGTTAGATAATCTCGCCCAACTGTAAGCTGACGTAATTTTTCTGAGCATATTTATGATACAGTTGGCTATGATGTTATATAGCTAGGATGTATTAAATGCATTTTTCACTTACAATATTTTTCATTTGTGATGGATTAATCAAGACATAACCCCATCATAAGTCCAGGAGCATCTAGAGTCCACTTTTTAATATAATTCTTTCAAATCTTTTATATCCTTAATTTTTATATGTACTTGCTCTATTAATTATTGAAAGGGGGTGCTGAAACCCACACAACTATAAATTTGGGAGTTCCTTTGTATCCTATCCTTCCTTTTGATTCACTTTTTCTTCATATGGTTTGAAACTTCATGATTAGATGCATCAATTGTTATAATTGCATATTCACTTAGTAAATTGACCCCTATGTCACTATGAAAAGAGCTTTCTTTTTTTTTTTTTTTAGACAGACTCTCGCACTGTCCCCAGGCTGGAGTGCAATGGTGTGATCTCAGCTCACTGCAACCTCCGCCTCCCAGAGTCAAGCAATTCTCCTGCCTCAGCCTCCTGAGTACCTGGGATTACAGGCACCCACCACTACAACTGGCTAATTTTCTGTATTTTTAATAGAGAAGAGGTTTCACTACGTTGGCCAGGCTGGTCTTGAACTCCTGACCTCATTATCTGCCGGCCTTGGCCTCCCAAAGTGCTGAGATTACAGGCGTGAGCCACCACGCCCAGCCAAAATGAGCTTTGTTATCTCCATTTCTTGATCGCGAATTTACCTTGTATGTAGCCAAACTTTTATTTCAATTACAATTAGCATGGTATAATATTTTCCATTCTTTTACTTTAAAACTGGTTGGCACTTTCTACAGGGAAAAAAAAAGATACTTTATTTGTAGACAGGATATGGCTGTGCATCTTTTATTGTTGTTTTTAAAATTCTTTTAATCCAAACTGACAGTCCCTGCCTTTTAATCTGAGTGTTTAAACCATTTACTATCTCTAAGTATTGATATGTTTGAATTTAAATCTTCTATGCTGGTATTTTTTTAACTTACTGCTTTTTAATTCATATGCACTTTTACATTTTAAAAAACTTATAATATTACAACTACAATTTTCTGTTCTTTGTTTTAAATTTATATATACTTTTCCATGTCTCTATACAGTTTAGATTTAATGGGTAATAAGTTATCTTCTTATTGTTAAAAATTGAGGTTTTTTCAGACTTTCAACCAACAAAGATCAAAAAAGACAAAAAAGAGCAATACATAATGGTAAAGGGATCAATCCAGCAAGAAGAGCTAACTATCCTAAATATATAGGCACCCAATACAAGAGCACTCAGATTCATAAAGCAAGTTCTTAGAGACCTACAAAGAGACTTATACTCCCACACAATAATAGTGGGAGGTTTTAACACCCCACTGTCAATATTAGACAGATCAACTAGACAGAAAATTTAGCACATATACACCATGGAATACTATGCAGCCATAAAAAAGGATGAGTTCATGTCCTTTGCAGGGACATGGATGAAGCTGGAAACCATCATTCTCAGCAAACTATCACAAGATCAGAAAACTAAACACCACATGTTCTCACTCATAAGTGGGAGTTGAACAATGAGAACACATGGACACAGGGAGGGGAACATCACACACCAGTGCCTGTTGGGGGTTGGGAGGCTAGGGGAGGGATAACATTAGGAGAAATGCCTAATGTAGGTGACAGGTTGATGGGTGCAGCAAACCACCAAGGCAAGTGTATACCTATATAATAAAACTGCACATTCTGCACATGTAACCCAGAACTTAAGGTATAATAAAAAAAAGTTTTTTTTCCGTTTTTACTATGATTTATAAATAATACTGATGAGCATATTCGTATTTATAATTATTTTTATGATATGGAGCGTTTCTTTTAATTGTTTTTTATTTCCATAGGTTATTGGGGATCTGGTGGTATTTGGTTACATAAGTTATTTAGTGGTGATATGTGAGATTTCAGTGCATCCATCACCTAAGCAGTATACACTGTACCCAGTTTGTAGTCTTTTACCCCTCAACCCCTTCTAACCCATTTCCCATGAGCCCCAAAAATCCATTGTGTCATTCTTATGCCTTTGCATCCTCATAGCTGAGCTCCCACTTCTGAATGAGAACATACTATTTGGTTTTCCATTTCTGAGTTACTTCACTTAGAATAGTAGACTCCAATCTCATCCAGGTTGCGGAGAATACCATTAATTCATTTGTTTTTATGGGTGAGTAGTATTCCATTGTGTATCTATACCACAGTTTCTTTATCCATGTGTTGATTGATGGGCATTTGGGTTGGTTCCACATTTTTGCAATTGCAAATTTTGCTGCTATAAACATGTGTGTACAAGTACCCTTTATGTATAGTGACTTGTTTTCCTCTGGGTAGATACCCAGTAGTGGGACTGCTGGATCAAATGGTAGTTCTACTTTAGTTCTTTAAGGAATTTTCACACTGTTTTCCATAGTGGTTGGACTAGTTTACATTCCCACCAGCAGTGCAGAATTGTTCCCTGTTCACTGCATCTATGCCAACATCTATTTTTTTAAATTTTTTTAACTATGGCCATTCTTGCAACAGTAAAGTGGTTTTGCATTGTGGTTTTGATTTGCACTTCCCTGATCATTAGCATTTTTTCATGTTTGTTGGCCAAACATGAAAATTTGAGAATTGTCTATTCGTGTCCTTAGCCCACTTTTGGATGGAATTGTTTGTTTGTTTTTTTCTTGCTAATTTGTTTGAATTCATTGTAGATTCTGGATATTAGTCCTTTGTAAGATGTAGAGATTATGAAGATTTTCTCCCACTCTGTGGCTTGTCTGTTTACTCTGCTGACTGTTCTTTTTGCCATGCAAAAGCTCTTTAGTTAAGTCCCAGCTATTTATCATGGGTTTTTATTGCATTTGCTTTTGGGCTCTTGGTTATGAAATCCTTGACTAATCCAATGTCCACAAGGATTTTTTCAATGTAATCTTCTAGAATTTTTATAATTTCAGGTCTTAGATTTAAATTCTGATCCTTCTTGAGGTGATTTTTTTATAAGGTGAGAGATAAGGATACAGTTTTATTCTTCTACATGGGGCTTGCCAATTATTCCAACACCATTTGTTGAATAGGGTGTCCTTTTCCCACTTTATGTTTTCGTTTGCCTTGTCGAAGATTCAGTTGGCTGTAACTATTAGGGTTTATTTCTGGGTTCTCTAATCTGTTCCATTGTTCTATGTGCCTATTTTTATGCCAGTACCATGCTGTTTTAGTGACTATGGTCTTATAGTATTGTTTGAAATCAGGTAATGTAATGCCTCCAGATTTGTTCTTTTTGCTTATTCTTGCTTTGGCAATTTGGGCTCTTTTTTTGTTCCATATAAAATTTAGGATTGTTTTTACCAGTTCTGTGAAGAATGATGGTGGTATTTTGATGGGAATTGCATTAAATTTGTAGATTGCTTTTGGCAGTATGGTCATTTTCACAATATTGATTCTAATCATCCATGAGCATAAGATGTGTTTCCATTTGTTTTTGTTGGCTGATTTCTTTCAACAGTGTTTTGTAGATTTCCTTGTGGGGGTCTTTTACCTCCTCGGTTAGGTTATATTTACTCATATATTCATTATAGTCGGTTATCTTCATTTTTATGTAGATCTAGATTTTAATCTAGTATAATTTTTTTTGACCTGAAGCAATTCCTATAATTTTCCTCAGAAAGCTGGTTTGTTGGTAATGATTTTTTTTTCAGTTGTTATTTGTTGGGAAGATGCTATACTGAGTATAACATTCTACACTGGCATTTTTCTTTCAGAATTATAAGGATGTTGCTCTAGAGCATTATGACTCATCATTTCCAAAAATATTTCCATCATCATTCTTTGTTCTTTTGAATGTATCTCTTATTCTATATAATGTCTCTTTCTTACCTGTTTTTTAAAAATTTGCGTCTTCTTTTTTTAAGATTTATTTCTATCATTAGTTTTAAGTTGTCTTAATCTAATGTTCTTGGGATTTTTGTCATGTTTCTTGTGTTTGGTGTTTATTGAAGTTTTTGGTTCTGTGGGTTTAGAGTTTTTATCAAATTTTGAAAATTATTTTTTCAGTCTATCATTGATGGGCATTTGGGTTGATTCCATGTCTTGGCTATTGTGAACAGTGTTGCAATAAACATACATGTTCATGTGCCTTTATAAGAGAATGATTTGTATTCCTTTGGGTATATACCCAATAATGGAATTGCTGAGTTGAATGGTATTTCGGTCTTTAGACCTAAAGACCCTTTAGGTCTTTGAGGAATCACCACACTATCTTCCACGATGGCTGGAAACACAGAAGGGAACAACACACTCTGGGGACTTTGGAGGGTAAAGAGTGGGAGGAGGGGGAGGATCAGGAAAACTAGTGGGTACTAGGCTTAATACCTGAGTGATGAACTAATCTGTACAACCACCCCCCTCCATGACACGTTTACCTATATAACAAATCTGCACTTGTACTCCTGAACTTAAAAGTTTAAAAATAAAGAAAAGTTAAAAAAAAGAAAATTATTTGCCATCATTTGTTATTGTAGATTTCCACTGCCCCCACTCCCTGAACTTCTCTTTCTGAGATTTGAATCGCAAAAACATTAAAAGTGCTTGATATTGACCTACTGTACATTGATAGAACACAGTTCCATTTGTTCTATCTTTTTTTCCTTGCTTCATTTTGAATTCTTTCTATTCGTAGGCAATATATAAATTGCTGTAAATACCATTCAGGGTTTTAAAAAATTCTCTAACATTATATTTTTATCCATGTTTGGTATGTCATTTTTTGTGCTTCCAGGTGTTTCCTTGACATTCTAATTCTTTTCTATACCTTCTTTAATATTTAATTCTTTTTAAATATCTGGTATAATTTCCTTGTCAAATAATTCTATTTTCTGTATTATTTCTAGGTCTAGGATTATGTGCTGATTTGCATCCCAATTAGGCATAATTTTTCTACTTCTTTGCATGTTTGATGATTGAACATTATACATTTTAAACTACATAGTTAGATGCTAGGTATGTGAATAAAGCTAGTATTTCTTTAAGTATTTTTTACATTTTTCTGTGATACATTTAATTTACTTGAAAACAACCTGATCATTTCTATGTATATTTTTAACCACTGTTATGTTTAAAATCCCAGGGACATTTGGATTGGGCATAAATCAGCCTCATTACCATGGCAGAATGCTTCTATATACGTGTCAGGATTTGGAGTATAATAGGAGGTTTTTCTACTCTATTTCAAGCCTTACTGAGCTTTTGAAATTTTGTTCTGCTGTTTGTGGGAGTGCCTGACTTAAACTTAGGTGTTTTTGTTGTGTTTTGTATTTACAAGTATACGTTGCTCAGTATTCAGCAAAAGAATCAATCCAAGTTCTCTTTGTATATTTTTTCTCTTCACTATTCTTCTTGCCACCATGTTCTCCCCAATTCTTAATTGTCTCCACACCTCAGGAGGCTTCCTTTGCTGAGGCTAAACATTCTCTCCAAGTAATGTACTGGGTATACTTCAGAGCTAACCTCATACACTTTTCTACTTTCAGGATTTATTTTTACTACCTGATTTTGAGTGTCTGAAAACTCTTCTTTCATATGTTTTTCTGCTATTTTTAGTTGTTTAAGATGGCAGAGTAAATCTGTCACACCATTATAAACAGATGTTTATGTCACCAGTTCATTAACAGCAAGTTTAAAGATTGCTTGAGGCCAGGAATTCAAGACCAGCCTTAGCAATAGAGATAGACCCTGTCCCTAAATAATAATTAAAAAAAAAAAAAAGTCAGGCATACTGGTGCACATCTGTGATCCCAGCTATTCAGGAGGCTGAAGTGGGAGGATCACTGGAGCCCAGGAGAGGTTGATGCTGCAGTAAATTATCACTGGGCTGCCGTACTCCAGCTTGGGTAATAGAATGAGACTCTTCTCTAAAAATAAATAAATCAGTACATAATAAAATAAGTTTGAAGATGAATGACATTTTTAAAAGTTATCAATAATAAAACAACTTTTGAACAACCAATGGAAGATGAAAAAAAGGCTTACAATTTTCTCTATAGAAATATTATTATAAAATATTACCTAAAAGACAATAAAATAATAGAAAAATACAGAAAATTATTGTAGAGTATGTCACATAATATATTTTCTTGTTTTTCTGTATTTTATTATGTTGTGTCAGCTTCTTGAAATTTATGATTATGATATATTTTCTCTGTCTAAATAAATATTCCATACCGTATGTATTTTTTGTTTCTTCTTTTGTTTTAACCTAAAGATGTTCACCAAATTGTGTAAATTTAAGCTTCAAAAAAATGGATTCACCATTGCCATTATATGGAGTACAAAAATAAACACTGAAAGAAAAATTTAATTGTGCAGTAATTCTAATTGTTTTGCATTTGATATCTTTCTTCAATTAAAATTGTATCACACTTGATTTGGATTCAAATGTTCCCATTGTCTTTTAAACCTCAGAAAATTATCAAGGTATTTTCTGTTATTTGTACATCTTGTTCCATGATCTTAAAAATGTTACTGGTGCAATAGCACCTTGAACATATTACTTCTCTCCATTTAAGCATCTTCTTCTTTTAAATAATAAAAGAAAAATATCTTTATTATTATAGAGTAAACAAAAATAGGAGCTTGGCATACATCGGTTAAAAATAACAAAATTCACAAATACATGAAATTAAATAGTATAAAGATTTTGTCAATACCTATTTGCAATTCTCTCATGATTTCCATAGAAATTCACTAATCATGTCATTTTTAAACAACAAAAATAATATTCCTAAGCATAAAATCAATTCAACCTTTTCTCTGTCTAGGTGCCTTCACACATAGAAAGAATCTTCTCCCAATGAATTATGTGTATCTCATAAGTGATGATTTCAACAACTTCTGATGATTTTGATAAAGTTGAAGTTTATATTTCTGTAAATTAGTCACCAGACATTTCTCTTGTTCCATTCAAATGCCTCATTATTATTACATCTGAGATTTCGTATTATTTGCCTTAGGTTGTTGGGCTTTGTAAATGAACAACCACTTTCTGTGATCTCATAAATAATTCCATTTCCTCTACTACTATTCCTTCAATCCCCTCAGCCAAACTGTGTTCCTTCAACACATCTCAAAATATATCTTAGGGAGTCTGTAAACATACTCCTCTCTATCACATAAATTACCATACTTGGGTGGTTTATATCCTCCATTCTCCTCCTTTATTTTTTTCTTTCCTTCCCAGACAGTAATCTGAAGGATCTGTGTGGCCTGAAATGGTTTGGGCTTCTAGACAAATTGCTCTATGGTTCTGGCATCATCAGATACAGAATCTGTTGTGTTAAATGCTTTGGAAACATTGGCCAAACTACACTTGGGAAGTGAGACTAAGAAATAGCAGGGACTATTTCTGAGAGATAATATTTAGAATTATTTCAAATGCTTGCATTTGAATGATAGGAAATTTATTTGAATAATGTTCTTCAAAATTGTAGTTTGTGCTTTGGGGAGCCATATTGTTTATGCAAAGCTCACCTAAGAGTTGTCATGAGGTAGAGTGGGATTATAGCAAAAACTAAGAAAATGCTGGAAGTGTTCTCATTTAACAGAAAAATATAGATAAAAACCCTGCTATTACTAGAGTTATCATGTAATGTGTCTAGAAGTTATAATAAGACAAATAAATGATGATCCCAATAAAAGAGGAATATCTATTGGAGGGAAAGTAACACAAAAGTACAAGAATTTCTATAAATATGAATGCATACAGTTACTATCTTTCCTTATACTAGTAATAATATACTCAAGAATTTACTTTGGACACCAATTTTATAAGAAGCAACAAAATGTAGATTATACAATAGAGGTTGTATAGATTGAAAATATTATTGAGAAATTTTTTAAAGTTAACTATTTAGAGAAGCAAATCATATAACTTCCTTACAAGTATTAATTTAGAGGTTTATGATTATCCTCTAATACATGATTTTTTTGGTCAAACTAGATAACGTCATCCTCTGAAACATCTAAAACAACATTCAGTTTTTAATAAATTTCAAAATGTTAATAAATCATTGTGATATTGTAGGATAATATTAATAAATATAAAATACTCAAAGCTATATTAATTTATCCTGGACATTTTAGAATCAAGAATTTGAATAATGGTTCAAACAGTGTGTGTGTGTGTGTGTGTGTGTGTATGTGTGTGTAAGTTAGATTAACCATAGGAAATTACACAAAGTACTATTACCCATGGTTAAATTAATAATTTGTTCTTTATTCCTTTAAATTGCCTATTTTGTTATGTAGTCCTATCAATTCTACACCTGAAATCAATCTTAAATTTTCAACTTGTTTTCCTCTACACTGTCACTACCCCTATAAACCGTCTACACTGTCACTACCCCTATAAACCATCATCTGTAACAAACTATTAAAACAGTCTTGCAAAAATCTGAAATAATCCAAAGGGCAATTATAAGAGTGTTCATAAGTCAGAAAAAAACATATTTAAACAGAACAGAATACAGGAGTAATGTTTTAAGAGGCAGTTAATATTTCTAAATCAAAGGATTTCTTACAGTATTTTAGTTTGAGATTGTGAAAGATAAATATTAAAGTGACCACAGATTCTTGCAACTCCCCTCATCAATGGAGGAAGCAGAACTAAAAGAAATAAAATAGCATAAAGCATTGAGAAAGCAAGGAAAGGACCACCTAAGGTAGCACTGATGATAACCAAATCAAAAATGAAATAAAAGACCATTCTGAGCCATCTTCTAGCCTTTGCATTTTAAACGTATAAGTTATTATTAAGCTGTTCTTTCTAAAAATGAACTGTTTATTCTTGTCATTATCACCATTAAAATAATTTTTGATTTGTTAAATATAGACTTCATGTATAGACTCATCATAAGTAACAATTAAAATAACTATATATGTAAAAAATGAATCTTCTATAAAATGACCTTAGAAAAAATTTCATTTTTAGGCCAGGTACGGTGGCTTACCCCTGTTATCCCAGCACCTTGGGAGGCCGAGGAGGGCAGAGTTCGAGACCAGCCTGGCCAACATGCTGAAACCCCGTCTGTACTAAAAATACAAAAAAAAAAAAATTAGCCGGGCATGGTGGTGGGCACCTGTAATCCTAGCTACTCGGGAGGCTGAGGCAGTAGAATCGCTTGAACCCAGGAGGCAGAGGTTGCGGTGAGCGGATATTGCACAATTACACTCCAGCCTGGGAGACAAAGCAAGATTCTGTCTAAAAAAAAAAAAAGGAAAAAATTTTGTTTTTGAAATCATCTTGTTGAAGCATAAAAAGTAATTCACAGGAAAAAGGGGTGGGGGCAGTGTTGGAGGAGAGTAATTTTGCTTCTTTTGCCTTCCCCCTCTTTTTCATCATTCTTACAGTTTTGGACTTGCACTTCTACAATTAAATAATGTCATCTTAATTCTTGCCTCAAATTCAGTTTTCTACATGAACAGAGCTAAGAAAATAACCTTTCCTAAAGTCTAGAGAAAATAAAACAAGAAGAGTTCTTTTTCTTCCTATATTCTTTAATTCAAGATTATTTTAATTCAGCTAACCTGGAAACTGGTGGGGTTGGAGAAGAACAATACTGGCAACCAAGCTAATTTTATTATAGGACAAGCCACGGGAAATTACATGATTATGAAATAAAAAGCTGATTTTTTGTGCTTATTTAATGTACTTCCTATCATAAATTCTCTGCTTCACTTTGTGGGAAGGATACAGTTAGTGCCTTCCCTGTCAAGTTATTTTCTTGAATTCTCTAAGAGACAGTGGCTAAGCAAATCCACTTAGGACCTGAATCCTAAGGAGATAAACAGAGCACAGAGGCCTGTTGATCAGAGAGAGAACTTTTAAGACAAAATTTGGCCCAAGGAGTAAGCACAAGAAGGCAAGTTCTCCAGCGCTGCTTAACAGATTTTGAATATAAATAAACACAAATAGACTAGGAAAATTATAAAGAACAACTTTTAAAAGTTGTTAAAAGCATTTTTGACAAATGCTGAATGAAGTCATATTTGTTGCCTACAAAATATCTATACTGAAAAATCCTTAGGCTACTCTTTATCTGCCCACCTCCACAGTGCTTATAAGGTATCCACTGCTAAAGATTGCACTTTGCATAATGGAAGACCTGCATTTTTAATTTTATTATTATTATTATTTATTTATTTTTTTTTGAGAAAAGTTCTCACCCTGTCAATCCTGCTAGAGTGCAATGGCACAATCATGGCTCACTGCAACCTCCACTTCTCAGGCTAAAGTGATTCTCCCACCTCAGCCTTCTGAGTAACTGGCACTACAGTTACACACTGCCAGGCCCAAATAATTTTTGTATTATTTGTAGAGAGAGGGTTTTACCATGCTACCCAGGCTGATCTTGAATTCTTGAGCTCAAGCAATACACCCACTTCGGCCTCACAAATGCTAGGATTCCAGGTGTGAGCCACTGCACCAGGTCCCTTCTATATTTTTATCTCAAATATGTTCAAGATTGGCAAACACAAATAGGAGAGTGCAGGTGATATAAAATACAAAACAAAATAACAGCGGCACTGAAATAAAACTTAGTTCATTGCTACATAGAAAGTCCCTTCTCTTCTATATTCTAGGATATACGTGCTATGAATTAATAACAATAATGTGATGCTTTTCAATGTCTTCTCTCAAAGTTATCTAAAAGTTATTCTTTTTTTTAACCTTTTGGCTATGACATTTCATATCTGAATAAATATATAATTTAAGTGTAAGTTATCAGATATTGAAGATTTACACATCGGTTGAATATTACCCATACAGCCTGGATTTGAAGCTGGATGTGATTATTATAAATCCTTTTGGAATGAAGTTTCAGTTTTATATATAGGAGGGTATATGCTAATGTGGTCAGCCAAAAAGTGTGGGTTTAAAGTGATTCTTTACTTTTATTATTACAATTGTACATACAGGTTTTCTACCCAATAGTTAACTACCCAGTATCTACTTTCTTATAATGAAAATACCTAATTTTCATTTGATGGTTTATGTGTCTTTCTCTCCCACTTTCAGTCTATGTGGTTAAAGGGAAGAGGCTCCAGGGGTGGGCCATCAATGCAAGCCTGGGCCAACATGACTTTAGCTTTTGGCTAGAGAAAGATTCAGAAGGACATGTGGCCTAAATTGTTCCAATCAAAACGAATCCAAAAACATTTCTCAAAGCCTCCAGAAAAGAAAAGAAAGGTTTTTTGTTGTTTTGTTTTACTGGATACACTAAAGGATATAAAATGGAGGCTATCTTGTAGAATCTGAGAATAAAATCAATCGAAGAGAAATGTTAGGAGATCAGGAAAACCAATTCCAGTTATGTCATTTGCAGCAAAATGCATGAGACTAGAGGTCATTATGTTGTTTTGTTTTGGTTTTTTAAGACGGAGTTTTACTCTTATTGCCCAGGCTGGAGTGCAATGGCGCGATCTCAGCTCACCACAACCTCTGCCTCCCAGGTTCAAGCAATTCTCCTGCCTCAGACTCCCGAGTAACTGGGATTACAGGCATGCACCACCACGCCCAGCTAATTTTGTATTTTCAGTAGAGATGGCGTTTCTTCATGTTGGTCAGGCTGGTCTCGAACTCCCCACCTCAGGTGATCCACCCGCCTCAGCCTCCCAAAGTGTTGGGATTACAGGCGTGAGCCACTACGCCCGACCACACCAGAGGTCATTATATTAAGTGAAATAAGCCAGGCACGAAAAGACAAATGTTGCATGTTCTCATTTATATGTGGGAGCTAAAAACTTTGATCACATGGAGTTAGAGAGTAGAAAGCTAAAGACCAGAGACTGGAAGGGTGAGTGGGGAGAATGAGGAAGAGAAGTGTGTTAAAAATACAAACATACAGTTAGATAAAAGGAATAAATTCAATGATGTATAACAAAGTAAGGTGACTGCAGTTAACAAAAATGTATTGTGCTCAGGTGACAGATACCCTAAGTACCCTGACTTGATCACCATGCATCATATGGATGTAACAAAATTTCACATGTACCCCATAAATTAGTACAAATTTTAAAAAAATGACCACAAGTATTACTTGAGCAAAGAATCAGCTCTACCTTGAAACACTATAACGTCTACACTTCTTAGGTAAGTAAGAAAGTGAATCTTGTTATTAACCTAGCTTGTGTGAATTGGATGTACTCTCACCAGGAACTAGAGAGATACAACTAACAAAGCATTAAAACAGTGAAAAAATGATTTGGTGTGTGTTTCGTTGCTTTGTTGGTGATTAATCTCTGTAGTCACTGAGACTTCTAAGGAGCAATGTATTAAAAAATTTTCCAGAAATATGCTCATTTACCTATGATCTAACCCATCATTTCAATAGTAAATGACCACAAGCTAAAGCTCCGCAAAATATATAATGAATATATTAACTCTCTATGACATTGTAAAAGTCACAATAATGTGTTGCTCTCTCCTTATTACCTAGAATGAGTTCTGAGGGAAGACTATATCTATATTCATCTTTCTTTAACTTTCAGAAAGGACTTATGGTAATGAATATTTGAATATTCAATAAATGGAAATGATTGACCTTTTCACTAGAACAGAAGGCTCTGCTGAATAGGTGCTGTTGATGGCCAATAGAAAAGAGGAAGAATCTACTGTTTCTGATATGCTCATTATAATTTTGTTCGCTCCAACCAGTCGACTGCTACAGCAGAAACTACAGTGCTTACCTTCAAGCGCACTGGATTTCAATTTGTTTTACAGTGAATCGAGCTTTGATATCTTCGTGTTTACAATAAACAACTTGAAATGCATTCTACATTTGGGGAATTATCCTAGGTCCATGTGCCAGAAATATAGTGCTTTTTGGCAGGCTTCTAATCCCTGGGGCTTAAGTTAAATAAGGAATGGTTTGAAAGTATACAGAATTCTGGGGTGATAAATCCAGAGAATTTAAATGACTTGCTTGTTTTAGATACTTGCCTTCTCTGGAAAAGCTGGAAGAATGTAAATTTGATTTTTGTATTTTAAGCACTTCCTCTGCATTTTCTATCACATACATATGCACACAAACATGCACACATACAAAAACAGAAATTGTATCATTTTATGATTATAAGTTTCACTGAGACTCACTCCCACACAATGTGTTCTAAGAACCTTATCTTATTTGGTTGCACCTTAGACATCATGCTGTTTATGAGATAAAAGCACAGTTGTTGCTGTCAGCCAGGCCATCTGGTAAGGCTGTAAGTGGTAAGAAGGGTGAAAGTAAGAGTCCTACTCTGGCAACTGATTCAGAAACCTATTAGGGAAGAAGTCAAGAATTATGGATTACTAGTTACTATGTCTATGTGCTAAAACATAAAAACACATAAAACCTATCTAGTGAATGAACACATATATGTATGTTAATTGGCTGGAGCTGTTCTTTAACTTTAGGAGGGGGAAAACATAAATGACCAGAGTAAGCAGAGCATATTTAATTTTTTTTCTCTACTACAAAGTAGATATTTTTTCCAAATATTTACTTATCTAATATTTAATAAATTCTATAGCTCCCAGTAAAATTAGCTATTTGTAGACAGTTATATAAAACTTCATGTTGAGAAATATCTAAAAATACATGACACACTAATACACCTTCAAGGTGATATTCATTAGATATGATACACAATGAAACTGAACTTCTGCTTTGTTCTGAATACATTTTATCAGTTATTTGAGAATTTAAAATAGAGTAGAATTATTATTTATAACATTTACTTTTAATATAATTATATCTCACTCCATTTAATTACATTAAAAGAAATAAAAAATGTATCTTGATTTATTTTAAATGGAGTGAGATTTACTTAACCACAAGAACCAGGTTCTACTTCTGAATGACAGGTTGACTATTTACAATATTTATTGCCTGAAATAAAGATGATTTTCAAGTGTTTTTGATACATGAATAAAATATGGTTTCAAAATAATATTAACAAAATAATTATCTATCCCTCTGTACACACACATGTACACATGTTAACATGACAAGAAAAGTAGAGAATTAACCAGTTGCTTCAAAATTTTCAGTCAAATGAATATATTTCATTGAAGCGAGGAAAACTTTTCTTGCATAATACATGAAGCTATCTCAAATCTCTTATTTATTGATATGGGTATTAATATGGGCATGGTAATATATTGCTGTTATTCTTCTGTGCCTTTAACATTATATATGATCCCATGGCATAAAGTTAGAATACCCATTTTAGTATGTAAGTTCAAAATTCAGAGATGAACAACATAACTGATTATTCTATATTTGTATGAATCACTTTCATGATTACTTCTGATTGAAGGAGAATGATACAATTTGACTGTGTCCCCACCCAAATCTCATCTTGAATTCCCACGTGTTGTGGGAGGGACCCAGTGAGAGGTAATTGAATCATGGGGGCAGGTCTTTCCCATGCTGTTCTTGTGATAGTGAATAAGTCTCATAAGATCTGATGGTTTTAAAAAGAGGAGTTTACCCATACAAGCTCTCCTTCTCCTGTCTGCCACCATGAGAGATGTGCTTTTCTCCTTCCACCATGATTGTGAGGCCCCCCCAGCCACATGGAACTGTAAGTCCATTAAACCTCTTTCTTTTATAAATTGCCCAATCTTGGGTACGTCTTTATCAGCAGTGTGAAAATGGACTAATACAGTAAACTGGAACCAGAAGTCAGGTGCTGCTGGAAAGATACCTGAAAATGTGGAAGCAACTTTGGAACTGGGTAACAGGCAGAGGCTGGAACAGTTGGGAGGGCTCAGAAGACGATAAAAAAAGAGGGAAAGTTTGGAACTCCCTAGAGACTTGTTAAATAGCTTTAACCAAAATGCTAATATAATATGGACAATGAAATCCAGGCTGAGGTGCTCAGATGGAGATAAGAAACTTGTTGGGAACTATAGCAAAGGTGAATCTTGTTATGTTTTATCAAAGAGACTGGTGGCATTTTGCCTCTTTCCTAGAGATTTGTGGAAATTTCAACTTGAGAGAAATGATTTAGGGTATCTGGTGGAAGAAATTTCTAAGCAGCAAAGCATTTAAGAGGTGACTTGGGTGCTGCTAAAGGCATTTAGTTTCGAAAGGGAAGTAGAACATAAAAGTTCAAAAAATGTGTAGCCTGACAATGTGATGGAAAAGAAAATCCCATTTTCTGATGAGAAATTCAAGCTGGCTGCAGAAATTTGAATAAGTAACAAGGAGTTGAATGTCAATCCCCAAGACAATGGGGAAAATGTCTCCAGGGCATGTCAGAGGTCTTCATGGCATCCCCTCCCATCACAAGCCCAGAGACCCAGGTTTTGTTTTGTAGGCTGGGCCCAAGGTCCCTGTGCTGTGTGCAGCCTACAGACTTGGTGCCCTGTGTCTCAGCTGCTCCAGCCATGGCTGAAAGGGGCCAATATAGAGCTTGGGCTGTGGATTCAGAAGGTGCCAGGCCCAAGCCTTAGCAGCTTCCAAATGATGTTGGGCCTGCAGGTGCACAGAAGTCAAGAATTGAGGTTTGAGAACCTCCACCTAGATTTAAAAGAATGTATGGAAACACCTGGATGTCCAGGCAGAAATTTGTGAGGCTTCCCCAGCCACATGGAACTGTAAGTCCATTAAGCCTCTTTCTTTTATAAATTGCCCAGTCTTGGGGTATCTTTATCAGCAGTGGGAGGGCCCTCATGGAGGACATCTGCTAGGGCAGTGCAGAAGGGAAATGTGGGGTTGGGGCCCCCACACAGAGTTCCTACTGGGGCATTGCCTAGTGGAGCTGTGAGAAGAGAGCCACTGTCCTCCAAACCCCAGAATAGTAGATCCACCAACAGCTTGCACCATGTACCTGGAAAAACCACAGACACTCTACACCAGCCCATGAAAGCAGCCAGGAGGGGGCTATATCCTGCAAATCCAAGGGGCATATCTCCCCAGGGCCATGGGAGCCCACCTCTTGCATCAGCGTGACCTGGATATGAGATACGGAATCAAAGGAGATCATTTTGAAGCTTTAAGATTTGACTTCCCCCACTGGATTTTGAATTTGCATGGGGCCTGTAGCCTCTTTGTTATGGCCAATTTCTCCCATTTGAAATGGCCATATTTACCCAATGCCTGTATCCCCATTGTATCTAGGAAGTAACTAACTTGCTTTTGATTTCACAGGCTCATAGGTAGAAGATACTTGCCTTGTCTTGGATAAGACTTTAGACTGTGGACTTTTGCGTTAATGCTGAAATGAGTTAAGATTATGGGGGACTGTTGGGAAGGCATGATTGGTTTTAAAATGTGAGGACATGAGATTTGGAAGGGGCCAGGGGTGGGATTATATGCTTTGGCTGTGTCCACCCAAATCTCATCTTAAATGCCCACGTGTTGTGGGAGGGACCCAGTGGGAGGTAATCAAATCATGGGGGCAGGTCTTTCCCATGCTGTTCTCATGATAGTGAATAAGTCTCACAAGATATGATGGCTTTAAAAAGGGGAGTTTCCCTGCACAAGCTCTTCTTCTCTTGTCTGCCACCATGAGAGATATGGCTTTCACCTTCCACCATGATTGAGTGGCCTCCCCAGCCATGTGGAACAGTAAGTCCATTACACCTCTTTCTTTTGTAAATTGCCCAGTCTCGGGTATGTCTTTATTGGCAGTGTAAAAATGGACTAATACAGGGAATTATAAGCAATAGCATCTAACAAAGTTCTAATATCAAGAATCAATAGGAAACAAACAAAGCAATATGTGAAAAACAAACAACCCCAATAAAAAGTGGAAAAAAATACATGAACAGACACTTTTCAAAAGAAGATTTACACATGACTAACAAGCATAGGAAAAAATGCTCAACATCACCAGTCATTAGAGAAATGCAAATCAAAACCACAATAAGGTACCAACTCACACTAGTCAATATGGCTATTATTAAAAAGTCAAAAAAATAACAGTTGCTTGCAAGGTTGTGGAGAGAAACAGAATGTTTATACACTGCTGGAGGGAATGTAAATTAGTTCAGCCACTGTGGAAAGCAGTTTGGAGATTTCTCAAAGAATTTAAAACAGAACTAACTTTCGACCCAGTAATATCATTACTGGGTGTATATCCAAAAGAATATAAATCATTCTACCACAAAGATACAGGCATGCATAGTATGCTTATTGCAGCACTGTTCACCACAGTGAAAACAGGGTATCAACCAAGATGCTCATCAACTGTGGATTAGATAAGAAAAATGTCGTACATATGCCCCATGGATTGCTATGCAGCCATAAAAATGAACAAAATTATGTTATTCGCACCAACAAGGATGCAGCTGAAGGCCATTATCCTAAGCCAAATAAGACAGGAGCAGACAACAAAATACCACATGTTCTCATTTATAAGTGGGAGTGAAACATCCAATACATTTGGATTCAAAGTTGAGAACAATAGATAAGGGGGTCTATTTGGGGGTGGAGGGTGAGAGGAGCATGAGGATTGAAAAACTACCTATCAGGTACTATGCTTCTTACATGGGTGATGAAATAGTCTCTGCACTAAACCCCAGTGACACACAATTTACTCATGTAACAAAACTGCACATGTAGCCCCTAAACTTAAAATAAAAGTTGGAAGGGGCCAGGCATGATGGCTCACTCCTGTAATCCCAGCACTGTGAGAGGCTGAGGCAGGCTGATCACCTGAGATCTGGAGTCTGAGACCAGCCTGACCAACATGGAGAAACCTCATCTCTCCTAAAAATACAAAATTAGCCAGGCATGGTGGCACATGTCTGTAATCTCAGCTACTCAGGAGGCTGAGGCAGGAGAATTGCTTGAACCTGGGAGGCGGAGTTTGCAGTGAGCTCAGATCGCGCCATTGCACTCCAGCCTGGGCAACAAGACAAAACCTCTGTCTCAAAATAAATAAATAAATAAATATAAAAGTCAGAAGGGATAAAAACAAACAAAAAACAAAATTAAAGAAGACCTGACTTCTGACTTAATAGCTTTTCAGCAGTTTTAAATCACTTTTTTGTGATACTCATTTTCCTAGCTTGTAAAACTGGAATAAAAAATGTCTTCTCTACCAGTTTATTATTATTTTTTGTGACACCTACAGGAGTCCATGAATGTGATTGTACTTTATAAAATGGCAAATACCATTTAGATGTGAGGTACCAACATAAAGTTTAAAATACTACCCTAGACAATTAGTACTAGGCATTATTAAACCCTCAAAACATTTTTTTCTCATTAATTAGATTCAATTTCACATATTAAATAGGAATATTTACTAAGTTTGGGAGCTTTCTTTCTTTCTTCCTTTATTTTTTCTTTCTTCTTTTCTTTCCCATATCCTTGCCTTGAATAAAGAAATAAGTGTTTCCTTCCCAAGCCAACTCATGCTGAGTGCACAAAAATTGTAATGGATTTTGAGGATGCCCACAAAATTTCAGGCATCTGTCTGTGGCTCATAAGGCCACTGCAGAGTTGCCATGGGAAAAAGTGTGGTGAGTACATTCTTGAGAGAGCCTATCATGTACTCCTGGAAGACTGTGTAATACTGCGGGTGAAGGGGGCCAAAGATGGAGCCACTTTTCCTCCTTTTGGAATGGCAAGAATACATACTGGACAAAGGACTGTGTGTATGTCAAAGAAAGTAGCTGTACTTGGGCTCTCTTATCAGGGCTCCATGTTGAAAGGCTCATCACCAGGGAAAGGGTCCCCCCACAGCTAGAGATTGTGATAGATACTGTGGAGAGTGAGATCTAGAGGTAGTGCTTAGTAAGCAGTCTCAACCAGGAAGATTGTTCATATCAGGGCAGTCTTCAATGGGGGAGCTCCTACAGAGCCTCTGGAAGAAACCACACCTATGTTCCACAAGAAAGTTAAAATTGGAATGCATATCAAAAAGCAAAACATATGTAGTTTTTATATCTCCTTTTACCTTTCTTTTTCCTTGGCAAATGAAAAAGAGCAAAATAATATGTAAGCTGAGAGAAGAGAAGAGAAAAGTAAAGAACGAAAGGAGAAATTGATTCTCTTTCCTAGTGCTGATATATCTGACAACAAATCAAGTCTCTCAGATAAAGTAAGGCACTAAGCATTGAGTTGGATATGTATGTGATCGAACTGATGGTTCAGACTGCAGTGAACGTTTTAAATTACAAAGTGAATTTTGATTATTAGAGGGATATCATTCTTATTAGTGTACGTGAATAGACAACTTAAGAATAAGCCCAAGATGTCATCAAGAGACAGGAAATGTATACTCAGGAAAACTCGTTTGAAGGGGCAAAAATTAAAGATATTTATTCTGTAAAGTTCTAATTACTTATGATATTTACTACACACATGTTTTAGATTTCTTATCATCTTTTCTTTTGTTATACTTTGACTTGTCATTCTAGGGCATTTTCTCAGTTTTAACTCCCACATTATTGATTTCATTTTCTCCAATGCAAATTATGTCATATATTGGTTCCTGTATTTTGATTTTTATAGAACCTCATTAAAAGAATAATGTTTATAAGGTATCATCCAGATACCTTATAAACAGAAACTCAACACACACACACACACACACACACACACACACACACACACACACACACATATTATTCTTTCATTCCTATTGGGAAGATAAAGGTAAAAACATGCCATATAGATTAATTTGCAGAATTATTGTAATGTTAATATATCTAGGCCGTTGTCTAGACTAATTAAAAAAAATGAGGGGGACAAAAGGAAATTTAAATTAGCTAGAATAACAGAAATGTAACAATAATGATTATGTCCAGTTTGATTAAATCTTGAAAAATTCAACTTAGTTTGCTTGTTTGTTAGATTTATTACTAAGTTATACAAGGCAGTAAAGGGTATTAGAAAATAACTTAATTCTATCATATGCCTAATTATATTAGCTACTCTTATCCACTATATAATGATTAATATTCACTGATAGTTGTTTTAGATTAATGACTAAGTGAATTTATGTCTGTTCAACATAATCGATGCTATACAACACATAACATTTATGTTAACATTTGAATCATATTAATAGTTATCAATGGAATTAATAGCATTTTTCTTATAATTAGAACATGCAAAAGCTCCTTCCTTGCTTATAGGAAAGCATTATCAAACCAATAGCTTGTCATTAACAATGTTAAATATATAAAATATTAATAATATATAGCAAATTGTTTACATGATAATTTTTTTTCATTTGAAGCAACATAGTGTTTGCCATTTGAATGATATTAAAATACAAAAAATGCTAAAAATAAGCAGTATAAAAAAGGTTTGTACTTAAGGAAAAATGCAAAATTTGAAAAATGCTGTTTCAGGCAAAGATTGGGATAAAGAAAAGGATGAAAAATATATAAGCTAAAATCTAGAAATCCCTTGGCAAAGAAAGACAGGCTCAATATTTAAATAAATCAGGAATAAACACAACTTGTCACAAACAAGTGACAAGGATAGAATTCAGCAAAAAATTTTCATTATGTCTAAAAAAATAATAAATACAGTCTAATAATTTAAGAGCATATTTCAGTCCTTCTTAAGCTTTAGTCAAATACATATGGTTTTAAGTGTCTTCTTGGTTTTACATTCAGAAGCACTTCTCTTCTATAAAACATGCTTGTTTATGCATATAAATACATATTTTTAAGAACTTATGGCGACATGTGTTCAAATATCGAATAGTTAATATATACATATATTTCAAAAAGAATTGCACTGAGAGATTTAAATTACTTTAAAATCGTCATGCTTACTGGAAGTATTGGGCATTTAAGTCAATCTGTAATTTTTTATGGTAATATAATTAGTATAGAAAGTTTTTAGGTGCAATGAGAACTTGTATTGAAGAGCACTATAATATAATAAGGTGTCTTTTCACCTATGTATTTAATACCATGTGCATGAGTTATATATTTAATGTCATATGCATATCGGTTTTACTATCTATTTGAAAAATAATTATGCTTTTAGGTGGCATATTTGCCAAGATTCTTTTCATTTTGGCATTTCTAATCATCCTGGAGTTTTTAATGTATAAAAATTATTTTTCTTTCATGTTGTAGATTACATTCAAATGGTATCTTGAACTAAATTATTAACAATAATGGGCATTTATGGAGATATCACTCATACATGAAATAAAATAGATTATTTTAGTCTTGCCATATCAGCACTGGTACTTATTCAAAACCATTATGCTTTTTCCTCCTATTAAAATTGATTACTTTGAATTTGAAATTGAGTATTTAAAGACTTAAAGAGGAAGGGCAGCAATATTCTTGATTATGCCACGGGGTGAGGGATTCAGTCCTGAAGGAAAATACTGAAGTTTCTCTATAGTTAATATCTCATCATGGAAAGTAAAAGCACTTGAAATTTTTGGACCAGGATGCAGAGAAACACAAAACATTTGCCAAAGATATAAGCAAAGCTTATTACAAGGTTGGGTTCATTGATAGTATTCACATTAATTTCTGCTGCAGAAAATAAGAGTGTCTTGAGAGCAAGGGCAAAGTTGCCTCATAAGGAGTTTTTCTTTTATTGTGTGAAAACTGCTTCAATACTCAAAGCTTAAGGGCATTTTGCTCTGGCATCACTTTGAAAATGCTTCCTTCTGCTTCAGTTACCAGAGGACGCCTAAGCTGATCTTGAAAGTGTTTACAGACATTGTTCTCATGTTCACAATTTATCAAATGCTTTTGGTGCATTACTAGAGATCTAGGCAACCTTTCAGTGCAAAGGACCATGAAACTACTCTTTCCCTAAGTTTTATAATAGCTTCATTATCTTTATTTAATGTTTGTGTAACTAATGAACCCCTAAAAATAAAACCATAAAATAGCATGATTGATCATTTGACTTAATGAGTTAATATAACAGAGATTATAGATCCAAATGAAGATTGCAGTTTTGCCAATAACTTCTAAAGAATTTTTGAAGTGATCTTCAAATCATGTCAAATATCCTTTATCCATCTTTATTGGTGGTAAATTTTGCTTTTGGAAAGAGTTGCACTAAATTAGGGGTCAAACTAGTGAATAAGTAAACAATTAAATAATTACATTTCAGTGAAAAAAATAGATTATAAGCTAAGAGGTGTATTTCCATATCTGTTGCAGGTCTGTATTCTGTCGCTGAAGAGAGTGAGGATAATTCAGATGACCCTGAGCGCCAAACAACTCAACGGTGTAAAAATAAGGCACAACCCCTGGAACTTTATAATACAAGTCATAACACAAATGAGACCTGGGTCATAAAGACCCAAAAGGAAATCAAAGAGTAGTCACAGCCCTGTGTTTGTTGCCAAATAATGTGTAAACCTTCTATTAAAAATGCTCAGTGAGTAGTTGTATTGAAATGAATTGGATTGAGACAAAACAGTATTTTCTCTCCAGAGAGAAAATTAGTATTGATTCACTTTCTCCTTGAATTATTTTCTATTAAGAAATGTATAGACAAATAAGATAAATTATCTCTTTTTGCTTATAAAATATTGTATTGGAACTCCTCATCCAGATGAATACTAAGGGGATCTTTCATAGTTCTTAAGATAAAGATTATTTTCACTCTCTAGGTTTCCACGGTATTCATTTGGGTCTATTTATGTCATTAGAGTACCCTTCTTGTTTTTACCCAAAGTCCGTATCATAAATGACTGTTAGATGTTCTGTGAAGAATACCACAAGATGGCAGTATTTCGGAAATGAATCCTTAGATTACTTCTGTATCCTATCTAAAATAACATAATAGCTTTGGTTATATTTTTAGGGACTAAAAATATTCAGTTGTCATTTCAAGTGATTAAGAATTAATGATAGTATAAAATCTGTTTAGTAATAAGTTGTTTCCTTTAAGTAATATAACTATCAGTTTGATTGTTCCAAAACATTAGTAAGCTTCATCAACATATAAATGAGTTGAAGCTAGAGAATTGTCAGTAGATTCATAAATCTCATAATTGCTTACATGTTGGTCTATAACTATAACCATACTTTTAAATTGTTTGAAAAAATAACTCATCCTAAAAGACGTCAATTATATTTTGTTTCTGCATGATTGTTTAATAACCAGTTTTAGAACAAGAAATATAAATTAGCAATTACACATATTAAGTACATCATTTATATTTTTCAAAACAGTTCAGGTTTGGATATCATCGAGCTTCTCAATTTTAATTACTCTCATAAAACTCCAAAATGTTGCTTTTAAAAGAGAATATGGTTTTAACCAAAGAAAATGCTTTCATTTCAGATTTATAAGTATGTAAAATGCAGAGGGTAGAAGGCAGAAGGGTAGCAAATAGCTTTGAAATAAAAACTGTTATTCTCTTAATGCCTGATTTTAATTTCCAATTATCTGCTCAAAATTTTTAGAAAAAAATATTGCTACAGAATAGTCTAATAGTTGATAGAGCTACATCTGGGTGATGCTAATTATTTTTCTGGTGCCAAGACTCCTAGCTGTTGAAAAGTTACCAAAACTCATGGAAATATAATCCCAATATTTTAAATATTGTAAAAGTAGTACCTGTTTCTTAATACCCATCAATATTTAATAGAATATTTCATAATGCAGAACTTGACTTAGGAAGAAAACAAACCCCAAAATTTCTATTTGTCAGTGAAAGCTATTTTTAACCAAAGAAAAGAGAAGATATAAAAATGTATTTTCTAAAATAGTATTGCCACTGAGTTATAACAACTTGAATAAATTTCATTGAATAAACTGTAAACTATTTTGTGATGTCTTGCCAGAGGTAGTACTGTGTTTCTTTTGTTTGTTTGTTTCAATTACTTTACCTCTCTGTTTGCATTAGTTATAATTATCGATATAAATACATGTTAAAAGTTTCAATTTTGAGTACAGCTGTGTAATCTGCTGCAATGTTAACCCAAGTACAGAGTTTGCATGCTTGCTAGGGTTTTGTTCCATGATATGATGTAATAACCTCTCTATTGTCCCTAATTTATCCCAGCAGTCATCCCTTGTGCTAAAATTGGTTGTATAATATGAATACCTTGAGGTTTGTATTCAGAAAATGCTAGTTAAAAGTGTACCCCTCTGAGTAAGATACAGTTAAACTACAAACATCTGGGAAGATGTAATCAGAAAAAAAGTTTAATACTACAAGATAGAGCATATCATGTACAGTGCGTCATACTTATTGGTGCAGATGTTACTCATTAAGCAGATGTCATACTTAACATACATGATTTTCTCCGCCCTAAAAAAACTAGTAGTTATCCATCATGAAAGAGATGCACAGGGTAAATTAGATCCTTAGAACAAAGAGCTGAATATCCCAAATAAAGACATTAGACATTTTTAGTACATATCAAAGGGAAGCAAGCATTCTGCCATTCTTTCAGTATTTTATTATTAAAATTTAACAAGCATGAAGAAGTTTGAAGACATTTTGAGAATTTTGTGCTGATAATTAAACACTCACTTTTTAGATTTGACAATTAAATTTTTATACATATTATACATCTTTCCACCTTTCCATTTCTGTAATGATCAGTCAATATACCTTATTGTGTATTTCAAATTAAGTTGTTGATACCCATATACTTTCTTCCAAATATTTAAGCATGCATATTATCAACTAATGTTTAATATTTGTAAACTGCTTAGGTAAATTTTATACACAACTGAATGCACAGATCTTAATTGTAGATGTCTCAGATATTCTGGCCAATGCATTCACCTGTGAAATCCAAACATTTAACAAAATGTAAAATGTTACCATCGCCTGAGAAATTTCCCTCTTGCTCTTTCAAAGTCAATACACATTCTCACCACCCCAAGAACAATGATGATTCTTTTGAATTTTCTCTACCATAAATCAATTTTGCTTTTTCCAGAAACTGAGAAAAATAGAAATAAACATTATGGTAAACATTATGTGTTATTCTATATAATGGTTTTTCATTCAACATAATATTTTTGAAATTAATATTTGTTGCTGCCTAAATATTTTATTCTTTTTTATTGCGTAATAGTATTCCATTGTATGAATATGCAGCAGATTTTTAAAAATCTATTTCCACACTGAATGACTTTCTGCTGTTTCCGGTTTGGAATGAAGCAATTATGAATAAATCAGCTTTGTTTTTTCACGTTTTTTAAAATTTTTATTCCCCTGAGCAAATATCAGAAACTGAAATTGTCAAGAAGAGGTATGCTAAGATTATAAGAAACTATCAGGCTTTTCGCCAAAAGTTAAGATGCTGAATTCAGGTCCAGCTAAGACGTCATAGATTCATTTCTCCCTGTTCCTCCCCTTTAAGTACGATATAAAACCTGTGAATAATGCAAGAAGTAACCAAAAGAACTCTGCAAGGTGGTAAGGGAAAGGCAAAGTGGTTTGGAATACCAAGACTGAAGAAAGAACACAGTGCTAGGATGTTGTATGTGTCTCCACTAATAGAAGGGGAAGACTAGGTCTGGCATTTCCCAGTTCCCAGCCTAGGAAGAGCAGGCAGTACAGATTGCCTTATTCTTTCCTCTTACCCAACGAAAGTCATCTGACAACAAGCAGTATTGTATCACCATCAAGGAAAATCAGAACCTATTACCAACAAGCAACCATAGGAAGTACTCTCTTTTCCTGCTAGATCTGAACCTCCCCTCCTCCCCAGCCACCCCTTCCCCTATGGCCTTCCCTCATTGAGAGATACCACAGCAGCCAGGCAGCAGAGTAAAAAGAGACTAGACCAAAGCAACTGGAGAAATATGCTGGATCCATAGATTGGAACACTAATTATGATTATGGTGTTGATTCTTTCAGGCATAATTAATGGATTCAATGCCATTTCAGTCCAAATTCCAGCAAGTTACACTATAGATATTGACAAACTGATTCTAAACAAGATTCTAAACTGTAAAAATGCTTATCTATGTACAGCAAAATGAATATATATATATATCTTATATGTCTCATAAAAATGAGCTCAAATACACAATAGACCTAAATATAAAAATGAAAACCACAAAAACCTCTGCAAGGTGACATAGGAGCAAATCTCGGCGACAATGTGTTTGGTGATAACTTTTTAGATATAACACCAGAAACACTATCCATGAAAGGAAAAATTGATGTTAGGCTTCATTAAAATTTAAAAAATTTTTGTTCTGCAAAAGACAGTAGTAAGAGATTGAAAAGACAAGCCACAGACTGCAAGAAAATCTTTGCAAAACACATAGGTGATAAAGGCCTGGCATCAAAAACATACAAAGACCTCCAAACTCAACAATGAGAAACAAACAATCCAATTTAAAAATGGGCAAAATGTCTAAACAGATACATCATCAAAGAAGATATCATTTTTCTTCTAGGATTGCAAATTAAAACAGCAATGCCATAATAACCTACTAGAATGGTGGCTGGACTGGAGATAGAGTGGGGGTTGGAGGGGTTGGAAGTGTGGCCGTAAGGGCAGCATAAGGAAACCTTGTGCGGATGTGAATGTTCCGTATTTTGACCATATCAATGCCAATATACTAATTGTGACCGTGTACTATAGTTGTAAAAGATGTTACCAATGCAAAAACTGGTTAAAGTGTTCATAGGATCTCTCTACTTTTTTTTACTTACAACTGTATGTAAATGTATAATTTTATAATTAAATATGTATTTATTTTTAAACATATGGACCACAGTAATTCAAAACAATTTGTAAAAGACCTTTCCTTTTCCATTTGAATTGTTTTGATTTATTTATTGAAAATCAAATGATTGTATAAGTGTAGGTCTATTTCTGGTCTTTTTCTTCCATTGATCTATTTGTCGATCTCATGTAAGTAACACACTCATTATGCTAAATGTATAATAATTCTTGATGTCTAGTAGTGCAAGTCCTTCAAATTTGTTCTTCTTTATAAAGCTGGATTTGAACTTTCTAAGTCCTCTGCATTTCCATATTTTAATGGGGGAATATCAATTTCTTAAAACAAACCTAGTGTTATAATGCCTGAGACTTTTTATAGATCAATTTGGGAGAAATGGCATCTTAAATCTTCCAATCCATAAATATGAAAATATTCCCAATAACACTTAATTTCTCTCCACAGGGCTTTGTATCATTCAGCATAGTAGTTTTACTCCAATTTATTCCTAAACTTATTTTCTGGAGCTACGATGAATTACTTTTTTATTTTCAAATTGTTCATGCTACTATATAAGAATTTACCTAATCTAAAACTTTGTTATATTTACTTATTATTCATTTAGAGTAGTTCTTCTTTAGGTCACTTAAGGTTTTCTATGAAAGCAATTATGTCATCTGCAATTGTCCACTGCTGTAAAGGCTAGGACCTTCAGTAAAATGTTGAATAGAAATGGCAAAAAACAGATGTCTTTCTCCTGTTCTTGAGATTAGAGGGAAATATTTATTATTTTATCATTAAGTATAATTTTATTTGTATAAATTCCAAATAACATTTTTAATTGTCTTCAATAGTTATAGTATATTTTCTTCTATACTTAATTTTCTGAATATTTTAACCTAAACTGATGTTGAATTTTTTCAAGTGATTTTGCTTCATTTATTAAATGATTATATAGCTTTTCATCTTTATTCTGTGTATCTGGTAGTTAGATAGGTTTACTTTTTAATTTAAAACTCTTTTTATGTTCTTGGAAGAAATTTCTGTCATGGTCTACAATTATTTTTATATACTGTAAAATTAATGTTTTAAATATTTTGATAGAATTTTTCTATATTCATGATAGATACTAGTCCATAATTTTCCTCTTCATTTGTAATATCTTTGTGAGTTAGTATTAGGTATATGGTATCTTCAGAATAAGTTTAATGATGCTTACTCCTCTTTTATTTTTAAAATACATGTGTGTCTTCTTATTTATTAAATATTTGACACAAATTACAAATTGCTGTAAATTGTTGTTTCCCTCTTTTCAAAAATCATTATTTTGCATTGCCTAATGGACAATGTCTGAAAACCTTGATTTCATGTGTTTACGCCCGTATTTTTTGTTGTTTCAGTCAGGATTGTAAATTCCATCCGTAATACTTCACTTCGTCAGGAGCAGATATCCTTGTTTGCATTTTTTTTCTCTTTTAACTAGCTAATAGGCTTTTTTCTGTGCTTTTTTCCACTAGCTGGTAGATTTTTCCCCCTTTCTGGTAAAGTTGGAAATAAAGCCTGGAGCTAAAGCTTACATGAGCATACTGTTAATGCATGAGACTTCAATTTAGGGAAATCTTGTGTAAAATAAATAAGCAAGTGAGGAAGAAATGGAGCAAAAACAAATTCATGAAAGTATCTTGCACAATTTGCCAAAGATTTTCTCTGGTTGCTCAGACACATGAGATATCTCTGCAGAGGCTATAAGTAAACACTTTCTTGCTAGTGGTCCATCAAAGAGAAAAAAGGTGAATGCTTTATAGGATAGCTCTTTCCAATATCCTGTAACCTTATGGCCAAGTCTGCTCCTCAAAATATTATTCCTTCTGTGCTGATGTTGTAGTATTCAGTGGTGTCATGTAATTGCTGAGGAAGCTGCAAACTTAGTGGACCCAGTTGGATCAGAACTGGGTTGCTGGAGTTGCAGAATGTGTGACTGAGATTAAACCACAGCCTATCCCTTGCCTCCAGGTACAGCTGAGACAATCAGCAATAGAAGGATATAAAGTCAGTGCAATAGGGATCTAGGACCCCAGAAGTGATGTAAGTCTGTGTGACAGCAGCTCTGGCCAATAAAATAGACAAGGAGTTTAGGCCCCTTGGTCTGATGTGATGAAACAGGTCTGGAGTGGCAGATAAAATGAATCTGCTACAGTACTTGAACAACTCCTCCCTTAAACTTTAGAAAAATAATAGGTAAGGAGTATTTGGAAGTATTAATTAGATATGTAAAACAATGGAAGTAAAAAATTATTATTTAATATTTTAATTTGCAGATACTGCTCCTATCTATCATTTATATAGGTATATATGTGCATATATATATGACTTTTCATTCTTAATTAAGATTTTTTAATTACTTCTCTCAGAGAAGTTAGAATAGAGAGATATAGATATATAGATATAATGTTTTCATAAGTAGTTTCTGCCATTTATTTCAAAGTAAATTTCTAAATCTGGTGATCAGCCTTAATTTGTTTTTTTGTCTGCCTTTCAGCACTTGTTTTATCTACCTTGGGTCTAGATGCCATTCCTTTTGAAAGTAATGGTATAAAAAGCCACACACACCAAGCTGTTATGAGCTATAAAATTTGAAAAGAGCTAAAATCTGTGTTGTGTCTAGGAGTAAATATTTGCTGTTGATTCCCTTTAATGGTCACCTAGAGATCCCATCAAAGATATATGTAATAGCAAATATGAGGTTGCCAGATAATAAACCCTGGAATTCTGAATAGAATGGAAGAATAAGTCTCGACTAGGAAATAAAGATGGATTCTTAGAATTATTTCTTGCTGGGTCTCTTTAGTCACCCTACCTCTGGAAAATAAATAGGCTTATATGTAGAAAGATAAGTGAAAAGTGAGATTTAAAAGTTAAGAGGTGTTCTTATGTAAAATACATTTTTGAGTATTATTTCATAAAAATAATTTATAAATAAACAATATTTTACTTAAATATAATTTCAAATTAGAGTTTGAGAAGATAAACAATGGAAATTATTTAAAAGACATATCCTAGGTTTAAAATAGATGGAGGAGACAGATTTTCAGTACCTTATTAGGAGAAAATGGTCATAGCAAAAAATTATAATCCGGTGGATAGAAGACAAAAAAAAATTGAGCTCTAAGATTAATTCTAACTATATGCTTAATAATGGAAATGTTATATTTTCATATTGTGAAAGTGAAATATGACCCTTAACAAAACCTAACTTGGAAAATAGTTACTTTAAATATCTAACTTCTGGTCTGATATTTCTTGAAAAATAAGACTTCATCGTCATTAAAGGAAGCTAGTAATTAAATTAAGCTCTTGATTAGAAAACATAAGTGCAGAAAAATTAAGTGTTAATTTAACATTTATACAATTATTGAAAAAATAAATTCAAATGTTGATGCTTCTGACTTAACATCTAGCTCCAGTATTATTTCCTACATGAAACCTGTTTTTACTTCCCAAATTAGACATTTATCCTTGCTCTTCAATGCTCATTTAATTGTTACCCATTTATGAAATTATCTTTTTTTTTTTTCTTGAGACATTGTCTCGCTCTGTCACCCAGGCTGTAGTGCAGTGACACAATCGTAGCTCACTGCAGCCTAGATCTCCAGGCTCAAGTGGTCCTCCCAGCTCAGCCCCGAATGAAATTGTCTTTCATTAATCTATTCACAACAAATATTAAGCTCCACAACAGGATAAAAGTTGACAAATATTTTGAATGTTTACTCTATGCCAGGGATTTTACTAGCCACTGTGATTTTAAAAAGACGCAGCCATTTCCTTAATAGAATTTCCAGCCCTGTCATAAAAAAATAGAATTAAGTAAATAATAAACATTAAAATAGGTGAAAACAAAATGGGTTAAATTTTCCTACATAAAAGTCACTTGACTTTTCACAGATTGGTTATTTGACAATTTTAAATTACTAAAATAAAATGGGAAGTAATATATATCACTATGATAAAGTATGTCTCTCTTCAGTAAATGTCAATTGAAATAGCAAAAGGCACAGTTGCTTTAATGGTGTATATCAGTATTTATTTGAGCAATTCCTTTATTAAAGTTATGTGTTTTATGCACATGTGCATGTGCAAACATAATATTCATGAAAATTTATATTTCTTTTACAAAATGAAAACCATTTAACTCACATGAAGATTAACAAACAGAATCCAACTAGCAATTCATCATGCCCCCTCTATTGACTCACCACTCCAACAGTAACTACTATTTTGACCTGTAATGCTGTAAATTATTTTTGCTTGTTTTTGAAGTTTATATATAGACAACCATACATGATATACACTTGTGTCTGGCTTCTTTCAGTCAACACTACTTTTGTGAATTTCAGTCTCTGTATTAGTCTGTTTTCACACGGCGATAAAGAACTACCTGAGACTGGGTTATTTATGAAGAAAAGAGGTTTAACTGACTCACAGTTCTCCAGACTTCACAGGAAGCATCACTGGGAGGCCTCAGGAAACTTATGATCATGGTGGGAAGCGAAGGGGAAGCAAAGCTTATCTTCTCATGGCAGCAAGAAAGAGAGAGAAAAAAATGGGGAGTGCCACACACATTAAAAAAAAAAAAAAACAGATCTCAATAAAACTCCCTCACTATCACAAGAACAACAAGGGGAAAGTCTGCCCCCAATTCAGTCTCCTCCCACCAGGCCCCTCCTCCAATGCACAGGGATTACCATTCAAGATGAGATTGGGTGGGGGCTCAGAGCCAAACCACATCAGTCATAAAAACATGTTCAATTTGTTTCGTTGCATTGTTCTCTAGTATTGCATGATCTAAAATATACCACACTGTAATAATCCATTCTCCTAGTGATGAATATCTGAATTGCACCCAATCTTCAGCTATTAAGAAAATTGCTGCTATTAGCATATATGCTAGTGGATATGTATTTATATTCGGCACATAGCTAGAAGAATTACTGGGTTCTTATAAATGACTCAAAGTTAAAAGTAATACTCTCAGGTTTGGGATGCTAAATGATAAGATACTAAGGCCAAGAAAAATGATCAATCCAACACACATGCAGATACTTAATGAGAACAATATTGACATTTATTTTTCTTCAACCAGCCAAGTAGGTTTTGAGCCAGTGGAAAGAGAAAAACGCTATAGGGGCCTACTATCTTGTCAGAAACAGTCTGCCACTGCTTGAGCCACTGCTATGTCAAGAAGTGTGACCTCTGTTAGCAAGATATTCTTTCTATGACTTGCAGAAAGAGGTTGAAGTATCCTAATGATATGTTGCCTCAGTCTGAAAAAGTTTTTCAGTATTCTTCATCAGGAATGCTCCATAAGTGATGATCAATGACAGTTTGGTTGGATGGGCCTTAATGCTAAAACTTGCACTTTGAGCAGCCAAGTGTCTAAGCACAAACTTTATCAATGTTCAGCGCTATTCCAAAATTTCTTTCCAAAGCAATCATCTTGTTTACATTACTTATTTTATGGTAAAAACTTGTTTTTAATTTTTTAAAACTTTTCTCAAAACAACATGTTCAAACACAAGCTTTACAGAAATATGTTTATACTATTTCTTAAAAACATGTTTACAATTTGGTAAGGTAGAATGAAAACACTTTCAACACAGATTTATTTGGATGGAGGAGGAGAATTTCTTTTTAGATTCATATACAAATCATGAGATTCACAAGCCATTTCTGGGAAGTTTCATCTATATTTTCTTGATTCTCACATGTCCACATCATGATTCCATATCTTGGTCACTATTTAAAAGTTTAGTATGCCTTTCTTAATAATTTATGAGTAATAAATTTCTGTTGTACATATATTATCTACATAGTTTTCATAATAGTTGCATTTCCTGGATTTCCATGGATGCAGAGATGTACCTTGTACAGTAATTATACCAGTGCTTCTTAAAAAGTGTACCTATAAGTCATATGTTGTGCAGAGTCTGGAAGGATGTTATAATATTCAAAATATTTCTGATTTTTAAAAAGTGCTTTTACATGGGCCAGGTTATATAATTTGGATAATTTTAGCTCAAGTATCAGTTTAGTTCAGATTGCCCATAGTTTTGAGAGTTATATTATTATTGCCATTTTCTTGATGTATTGGGTATTCTGCTCCTTCTTGATGCTGAATCCCCTACAATTGACCAGCCTAAGTTTGGTTTTGTTGTTCATCTGTTAAATAAATTTGCAAGTTTATATCTGATGAGTGAAATACAGTCAAGTAATTACATCTTTTCTAATTATTCATTAGTGAACTGTACATCTAGGCTATACCAAGTTTGCTTTCTGTAACATTTACTTCTAAGGGTAATATCTGACATGCCTCCTCAAAATCTATAGTGTTATTCTCAGGTTTCATAAAGTAATAGCTTGCTCCTAACATATGCCAAAGTTTTCTAGAACTCTATCATCTATTTTTGTTGAGGCGGCTCTTTTTAATATTACATAGTCATTATTTGAAGATTTGAAACAAATATCATAAATATTCTTGGCCTTAAAATAGATAAAAGAGTAGAGGAATATTATGGTAGTCTTGAGCAAAGCATGAGTTATGAGCTTCATAATTGAATGCATTAATCAAATATTTTCATAATGTGTTCTTACAACAGGGTAGAATGGCTTTAGTATTAATACTATATTTTCCATGGCATGATCTGTTTTTCTACAGCTACTCAGCTTACTCAGCTTATTCAGGGACTTCTCTGGCTATTACCTCCCCAGATATCACATATAATTTTTGTCTTTTTCCACAATTTATACATATATTTAGAATTATGCCTACTTTTCCTAATTTTTAAGGTGGATCTTTTCTAGGAGAAAAGTGGGGAATAATAATACTGTAGAAGGTAAATTTATCTTTTTTTATATATTCTTATTCACTTGAATATATATTATTATAATAATAATCACTTGAATATATTGTAGAAGGTAAATTTATCTCTTTTATATTTTCTTATTCACTTGAAATCTCACAGTTCTTATATCAGTTTTCCATTAATTATTTTGAAACTATTTTTCTCTGTATATCTGTTTTTAGTAGTCTATCCCTCTTTTCTACCATTTTCTTTGTAGTTAGAGGGTACATGTTACTTCTACCTGACATTATTTCTGCCCAGATCTGAATTACCATAGCTTTGAAATAAATCCGTAGATCTGACTGGAGACCTCCACTTTCATCAAATGCTGACCTCCGAATTATTAATTCCTTTGAAGTGGATTTGAAATAATTATTATATACTAGGTAGTGCATCCCTGCTTCTGAGGACATGTCCACTATACTTAAGCAATTTTATCTTCATTTAGAATGTGGTAAGAGTTCTTGTTACATTTTTAAAATTCATCTTTATTAATTTTAGCTTGAATATACACATAGGGTACTCTGTAGGTATCAGAGACAGAATCTATGTTTATTCAATTTAAAAAAGCAAATAATAAAAATGTGTTTTCTTATATCCCTATTCTTATCCCTGGGGTGACTTACTGAAAACCAAGTCAAATATCTTATACAAAGTCTGCAACATAGGCATTGAACAGAGGAAAATGAATTTTATCTGCTTATTTATAGGAGAAAGAGGTCTGCCTCCCATTCCCTTCCCAGAAGGAGAAAGCAAAACCTTTGGTTTTGGAAACGTTGGAAAGATAGGATGGAAAGGATCCTGGGTTCTCACTCTAATTTTGGGGACTGTAAATACATCTCACAAAGAGCAAGAGAAAACCTTAGCATATGCAGTTTTAAGATCTAGAGATGCCTTCTAGGTCTTGCCTTCATTTTGCCTTGAAATGGAAGCACATACCTCTGGAGTTAAATAAATCTCCCAAGTTCTCTCACTATCTTTGCAGTTGTAAATTAACTTCCTAAGGCTTGATCTTAAGAATGTAATTACATTTTCTGTCAATTTTGCCGATATTTGTAGTATACATTATCCTCTCTATTTTGTAGGCTGGCAATTATTAGCTTTTTTTCTTAACTATTTCTTATTTTCTGCCTTGATCATGATATTATCAATAAAATATTCTACTATTATTTCTTCCTTTGAAGTCTGATTTAAATTCTATATAGATTGTTTGCTATTACCAGACTATAAGGTAACCTAGTAACTGTGTTAAAGGCCCCTTTCTTTGTGAAGGCCAAGTGGGGAAGACTTTCCTATGTTACTAGTAATGCAAACTCTATATTAAATTATTAACATGCATTTTTAGGGGCTGTTTAAAATCTCATGTGTTATTTTTTGCTGTGAAGCAGCCCTGCAATTTTAGTGACATTTTCCATTTAAATTCCTAACATCGACAATAAATCTCTATTCTTCCAATAGAGATTGGAAGACTGGCCCAATGGAGAGTTACATGGAAATATTATTTGCCTAATAAGGTTTTAGTCTAAAAGATATTGTATTATTGTTATACCTTCTAATCCTCCTGTAATGTTATATTGACAAGTATTTACAATTTGGTCAATGTAAAGTATTTCAAGATTTCACTTAGTTTTATCTCTTTTATGAGCTCTGTTAAATTGTGTTTGTTTCCAATTTTCCTGAGTTTTTTTTCTTCAAATAGTATTCATTCCTATTACGCATTCATAAATTGGTGCTTTTTACAATGTTATAGTTTCTTAACGACTATACTAAAAATTGTCTCCATTGTTCCATTTCCTAGTTACTGCTTTTCAGGAAGTCTCATTTTTATGTTTTATTTTTATTCTCAATGACTTGCTTGCTCTAGAATTATTATTACTTGTATGTCTATTCAATATATTATTGTTTGATTTTCTTCTTTATCACTTTAGGAATTATATGTAACAGATGTGGTTGTATAGACAGAATTGTCATCTGATGTGACCAAAATCTGAGACTCCCAGGTATATAGGTCATATATTTCCTAATCTGAGGGTTTATTTAGATCGGTTCCAGTCCTGAACTCTATAGTGCACTGCATTTTTTTTTTCTACTTTGTGTTTTTGTTTTGTTCTCGCTGTTTTTTTAATCTGGGTTTTGGTTACAATCTACAATCCTTGGTTTCTCTGCCAGGACTTTTACATTGTTTTTTCAGATTATCTGAATCATAGCAGTGTTTTTGTGTTAGTGGCATAAAGTTTTTTCAGTTAGGGCATTTTCTTGTTTTCACTCCCTCTTTTGTCCACTATGTTATTTATCATTTTTATTATATCTAAATATTATTTTATACTATCTATCGGTAACACACTTATTTTGCTTTTAGAAATGCAGCTATCCATTGCGAATTTCAAGATATTTTTCTCTACATTTCTTTTTTTGCCATTATATTCATTTTAGTTAATTTTATTTTAAGCTTAGGGGTACATGTGCTGGTTTGTTACATAGGTATACTTGTGTCATGGGGGTTTGCTGTACAGATTATTTCATCACCCAGGTATTAAGCCTAGTACCCATTAGTTATTTTTCCTGATCCTCTCCTTCTTTCCACCCTCCACCCTCAACCCTCCAAAAGGTCTCATTGTGTGTTGTTACTGTCTATGTGTCCATGTGTTTTCATCATTTAGCTTCCCAGTCAGGGCCTTTAGCCACTCCTGTGGATGTTCTGTGACCTACAGAGATTTGAAAACTCCCTGAGATGAAACTCCCAGAGGAAGGAGCGAGCCACCATATTTGCTGTTTGAGTGACTTAGCAGCTCCAGCCTTGGGGCTTTGGAGAGGCGAAGCCGACCAGGTGGTGGAAGCGGTACCCTAGAACAGCACAATGACCCCACAAAATGTGGCCAGACTGCTTTTTTAAGCGGGACCCCAATCTCATTCCTCATCACTATGTGGAGCCTCCCAACTGGGGTCTCTGACTACCACAACTTGTGTTCTCAGGCTGACAGAGGCTTCAGGTCTCCTTGGGACATAACTCCCAAGAGGAGGGGCAGGCCACCCTCTTTATGTTTCTTCACAGACAATGGCTGAACACGTATGTGCACACACACACATACATATCTGTGTGTATGAATAAACGTATATTTTTTATATTTAATTTTAACTGCATAATATTTACCCTGTGCCATATTCTCAGTCATTCAGAAGGCATCTATCAATTCCTCAATTTTTTTCTATAGGAGCTATAATGCTATGTAACTTAGTTTTGTTTCTTAGTATAGTTCTCATTGCTGTCTTTTTAATTTGTTCTGTTTCTTCTACACACAGAGGTCCTTTATACCTTTCTGGTTGTGACTACTATATCCATTCCATCGTTCCAATGTGGTTATTAATTCAGTGGCTACTGTTATGATTATTAATGGCTTCGTTAGGCCCTGGCCATCAATGTTTCCATTGTTTGAATACATACCTCAGTAGAGACCTGATATTATTTTTGTGCATGACTATTGATTTAATTTTTAATTATATCCATCACCTCTAGTTTTACTTCTTGATCTGTTAGAAAACCAGTATCGTCTTCTTTTAAATATTAAGTAGGAGTCATGGAACTTTGAATTTTCCTGACTCATGGCAGAATCCTTTCCTTGAAATTTATAGATTTGCCCTAACGTATGCTCTCATTCCTAAGACTTTTGTTTTGGGGACTTCTTTTGCTTTTGATGTTTTCTTTCAAATAATTGTCCTAGCTGCCAGAAACCCATCCTCATCATCCTTTATCCCAGGTAGACAACTCATAGAATTACGATCACATAAGTAATCATTTGGTAGACAGTTAAGTTCTTATATTTCAGCTACATTTCCTGTCCTACCTTCCTGTCTGTCAACACTGTGCCGGTGTGTCCGGAATTGGTGGGTTCTTGGTCTCACTGACTTCAAGAATGCAGCCGCGGACCCTCGCGGTGAGTGTTACAGCTCTTAAGGTGGCGCGTCTGGAGTTTGTTCCTTCTGATGTTCAGATGTGTTCGGAGTTTCTTCCTTCTGGTGGGTTCGTGGTCTCGCTGGCTCAGGAGCGAAGCTGCAGACCTTCGCGGTGAGTGTTACAGCTCTTAAGGTAGAGCGTCTGGAGTTGTTCGTTCCTCCCGGTGGGCTCGTGGTCTCACTGGGCTCAGGAGCGAAGCTGCACATCTTCGCGGTGAGTGTTATAGGTCTTAAGGCAGAGCCTCTGGAGTTGTTCGTTCCTCCCGGTGGGCTCGTGGTCTCGCTGGGCTCAGGAGTGAAGCTGCAGATCTTCGCCGTGAGTGTTACAGCTCATAAAAGCAGCGTGGACCCAAAGAGTGAGCAGTAGCAAGATTTATTGTAAAAAGCGAAAGAACAAAGCTTCCACAGTGTGGAAGGGGACCCGAGCGGGTTGCCAATGCTGGCTCCCGCAGCCTGCGTTTATTCTCTTATCTGGCCCCACCCACGTCCTGCTGATTGGTAGAGCCCAGTGGCCTGTTTTGACAGGGCGCTGACTGGTGCGTTTACAATCCCTGAGCTAGATACATAGGTTCTCCATGTCCCCATCAGATAGTTAGATACAGAGTATGGACACAAAGGTTCTCCAAGGCCCCACCAGAGCAGCTAGATACAGAGTGTCGATTGGTGCACTCACAAACCCTGAGCTAGACACAGGGTGCTGATTGGTGTGTTTACAAACCTTGAGCTAGATACAGAGTGCCAATTGGTGTATTTACAATCCCTGAGCTAGACATAAAGGTTCTCCAAGGCCCCACCAGAGCAGCTAGATACAGTGTCCATTGGTGCACTCACAAACCTTGAGCTAAACACAGGGTGCTGATTGGTGTATTTACAATCCCTGAGCTAGACATAAAGGTTCTCCAAGGCCCCACCAGAGCAGCTAGATACAGAGTGTCGATTGGTGCACTCACAAACCTTGAGCTAAACACAGGGTGCTGATTGGTATATTTACAATCCCTGAGCTAGACATAAAGACTCTCCACGTCCCCACCAGACTCAGGAGCCCAGCTGGCTTCACCTAGTGGATCCCACACTGGGGGTGCAGGTGGAGCTGCCTGCCAGTCCCGCGCTGTGCGCTCGCACTCCTCAGCCCTTGGGTGGTCGATGGGACTGGGCGCCTTGGAGCAGGGGGTGGTGCTCGTCGGGGAGGCTCGGGCCGCACAGGAGCCCATGGAGTGGGTGGGAGGCTCAGGCATGGCGGGCTGCAGGTCCCGAGCCCTGCCCCGCGGGAAGGCAGCTAAGGCTCGGTGAGAAATCGAGCGCAGCGCCGGTGGGCTGGCACTGCTGGGGGACCCACTAAACTCTCTGCAGCCACTGGCCTGGGTGCTAAGTCCCTCATTGCCCGGGGCCAGCAGGGCTGGTCGGCTGCTCCGAGTGCGGGACGCGCCAAGCCCCCGCCCACCCGGAACTCCAGCTGGCCCGCAAGGGCCTCACGCAGCCCCGGTTCCCGCTCGCGCCTCTCCTTCCACACCTCCCTGCAAGCTGAGGGAGTGGGCTCCAGCCTTGCCAGCCCAGAAAGGGGCTCCCACAGTGCAGTGGTGGGCTGAAGGGCTCCTCAAATGCCGCCAAAGTGGGAGCCCAGGCAGAGGAGGTGCCGAGAGCAAGCGAGGGCTCTGAGGACTTCCAGCACGCTGTCACCTCTCACCGGGTTTCTAGGTTTAGGTTTAGCAAATCAAAAGGCAGGGAACATAAAAAGATATCACTGATGACAAGCACATACTCATTTAGTGCAATATTCACATTTATTTTCATTCAACAACCTGAGGAAGAGAGTTAAGAACGAGAAGGAACAGAATTTGAGACACTACATCATCAGGAGTGGTCATCCTCTCACTGCCTTTGAATCACAGATACCTTTGAATCACAACAGAAATAATACTGAACCCCACTACCAATATTTTCTTTTTCCTGACTGAAAAGGACATTGAAATAGATTTACAGTTAGCATTTTACCATTTGCAGAATATCTGATTCTTCATGAGACACATAGAGAAATTAATGTTTGGTGCTTGATTCTCAGTGACAGTATGACTGACCAGGCTAGTGTTAAAACCTTTACTAAGGGCCTGGGGGGTTTTAGGAGCGAGGGATCATTGCATAGAGCCTTATTACTGCTTCCTCAAGCTTTCTTTCCAGTGTAAACCTCTTGTTTACACCAGGTAAAAACATGTTTTTCACTTTTAAAATCTTCTCAAAAACAACATGTTCAAAAACAAGTTTTAAATAAATATGTTTATTACATTACCTAAAAACAATGTTTTCACTTTGACAAAGTAAGATGGAAACACTGCCAAACAAGTTGCACATTTTAGGGCACAGGGAAATGAATCATGCTTCATTCATTTTCATGCAAATTATGTACATTACATGTATGCATATGTTTAGCTACAGTAAGTAAAATAAGTGGCACACAGTTTCCTAAAGTGGTTATACCAATCTACCCGGCCAACTCCGCATATGAGAGATCCAGCTGCTCCATTTTCAAATCAAGACATAGTATTTCTATTTTTCAGTTTCTTAGTTACAATGGTATGTGATGATATAAAATATTTTAATTGCAATATCTTGATTACCAATAATGCTGAATATCTTTCTTTTACGTTTATTTGTGAAGTGTTTGCTTTGCCGATTTTTCTATTTGGGTTTTGTATTTGTCTGTTTTGCTTATTGATTTGAGGAAGTTCTTTCAATACTGTTGATACAAATTCATTGTAATTCAGCTGTTTATAGAATCTTGTGAAATTATTCAAGTCATTTCAATAATTTGAGACTCATTTTATTTCCCAGAAAAAGGACCATTTTGGTAAGTGTTTCTGTGTACTTGTAAAAGGCATATTCAGAGTTGTTAGTTTCAGCATTCTAGATATGTAAACTATGTCTTGTTTTTGAATTTTGTTGTTAAATATTCTATATAATTACTGACTTTTTAATACTTGCTCTATCTGCTAGCAAGTTTCAACATGTTACAGTCTGATACTATAATTGAGCATTTGGTATTTTATTTTCAGATCTTTTTAATCTAATATTTTTTCCATTATATTTAAAGCTTATGATTTGTATGTATGTGTATGGTTCCATTTTGGTTTTCTTGTTATTCAAATATAAAAATTGTTGTCTTCTAGTGGAATACGTATACTTTCAATGTATACATTGCTATATTTGAGTTTTTGTTTGCCATCACTCATTTATTTTCTTATTTGACCCACCTATTTAATAACGTCATCTTCCTCTTCTTCAAGTAAAACTCTGACATTAGTAAAACCATGTATGTCATCATATTGCTGTGGAGACTAAATGAAATAAGCATAGGGTATATTTAGCAGACTCTGATTCATTTAGTCTTCATCATAATATTATACATCATATTACTAATGTTAGAGTTTCAATTGGACAAGATGAAAAAGTTCTAGAGGTAAATGGTGGGGATAGTTGTATAACAATCTGAATGTACTTAATGCCACAGAACTGTATATTGTCGTATGGTTAAAATGGTAAATTTCATGTTAATATGTTTTATCACAATAAAAATTTGGAAGTAAGGCAAATAACTAAATAACTAGCCCAGGATCACATACCTTGTGCTGTATTAAAACTGGAATTTAATCTTATATCTATCTGACTCAAAAAAATGCATATTCTTAACTGATATGGTGCACTTTGATATCATTTAAAATGGTATTTATGTAAATTACAGCCCCCAGTGAAATAGGTTGTATTTAGAATGATATAATTTCTACTAAAAAAACTGAAAAATAGAAATGTTCTGCAAAAGGAGACAATGCTGTTGTGTAATGAAAAAATACCTCAATTGCCATATAATTAAAATCTTGACTAGATATTTGTTCTAGGGAAAATAACTTAATTTTCCAGGGCCTCAGATTCTTGATCTATAAAAGTAGGAAAACACTTTTACTAATTACTATGTACACCTTATATGACAGTTAAATTCAACAACTGATGGTTCATATTCGCTTAAAGATATATTAACTAGAAAAGCTGACACTAGTAGTTGATTGCTTAAATGTATAATGATTGGTTATTGTGTTTGTACTAAATTATGTTAATTAATGTTGGGCTCATAAAACAATGCCCCAAAATATGATGCTTTGGCTTTCTGAGTGCCTTTGATTAAAGAAAATTGAAAGGCATCTGAAATAAGCCCCAAAACCAAGGTCTCTCTACAACCTTTCCCCAGCACCCTGTATCTCTGATCTTCTTTCTTTCCCAAAGTGCTGGAAAGGATTTGCTCTGGAGTTTTCTTAACTGGCTAGAGAAGCTTCATTCCAAAAGAAATGCTAGCGTCTTAAAACCCCTTCCCCAGGTATCTCATCAAATAACCAGGAAAGTTTAACCATTAGAAAAGAGGAGAGACTGGGAGACATCACCATGCACAGAAAGAATTTACACTAATTCTTCTGAGGGTAGCTCTGAGTGGTTGCCTGGAAGACTTATCTGAAGCATAGGACAACCTTTGTTCACAGTGAAGTTCCACCCTTTACCACCACCTCCCATAGAACTCAGAGACACTTTGTCCCAGGCTATTGTTCTTTGGGTTCATTCAATTCCATCTGAAAATAATCGACTCCTGTAACCCCTCATTTTCCCTTCCCTTATAAAGATGGATATATAAGCATCTAGATCTCATTAAGTTATTAGGTAATTATTTTCCTGAGATTCCCACATGCTTATGTGTATTAAATAAATTTGGTTTGTCTTTTTCTCCTATTAATCTGCCTTTTGTCAGTTCAGCTTCAGCAAACCTTCAGTAGGCAGAGAGGAAATTTCCCTCTGGCCCTACACTAAACTAAACATGTAGTTTAAAGGTTTAATTTTAAAAAATACAAGGAATGCGTTTGAGATTTTTTTATATGCTAAAGGAAAAAAAGGTTTTTTTTTATTTTTCTATATATTCCGAAATCAAAGGTACATGTAAAAATATTGGTAGACCTAATGGAAGATATGGCCTCAGTTCTTACTCTGTGCCCAAATGTCGGCAATTCTTCAATACAGAAATTCACATTTGATAAAATATTTCAAGATTCTGGAACACAGAATTTACCCTAACTGGAAATATTCATACTACTACTTATTTTAACTCCCAATCACATATTTTTCTCCTTATCTTACTTCACTTAGCCCATTACAAATAACTGAAATTAATGTGTTTTATTTTATGTTACTTTTAAGTTGTGTTAGCTTCTTTAAAGTGGTCCATACCAAAATGTTAGCTAATTTTATTTTATATGGTAACTGTTTCCTTGGTGGTGTTATAAGTTTCAATTAAGCCTCACCTCAAAGAGAAAGGTTAAGTAATAAAGGTATTGTCAACATTGTAGTTTTAATAGCTATTCTTTATTTCCCAATTTATGTCATATTTACACCTATTGATTTTATAATTGAATAGAACAATTTAATTTAGAGACTACAGATATAGGAGACTTAGCTTGAACTTAAATTCCATGTTCCTCACTTATTACAGGCAAGTTATTAACCTCTGAGGCCTTTGATTTCATCTTTAAAATAAAGGTAGTAATATTTATTTCTGCTTTATTCTGAGGAATAAATGGGAAAGTATATGATAAAATGCAAACTTAAAATGTTATTTTCTGTCACTTTCAGATACAAAATGAAAATTCAGAATTTAACTGACTTTCACAAGTATATTCCAAGTTGGTGGTAAAATAAACACTAGAATCAAATGTTTGTATTTTTTGAATATTTATGTATAATGCCTTTCAGTTATATTGATAAAAATAATGCATGCTTTTATTGATATGTTATTAGGTTGAGGTGAACAATGTAAAGTTTATTTGTACTTTTCTATTTGTTAGGGCATCTGGAAAAAGCACAATCTCTTTTATATTATAAACTTTTATCTACACAATTTTGTAACATGAATAGAGAACTTCCAATCACAGAGAGAGTAAAAAGTGGAGCCAGTATTGGAATGTAGAAAAACATTGACTTTCAAAACTAATTTTTCTAATATATTACTAGGTTCTGTATTACATAGTATGGGATAATTTAGAAATATAACTGATAGAGAATTAGGTTATAAATGGCTAAGTCTGTTTAGAGAAAAGAGATAAGCACAATAAAAATAAATGAGTACATGTTATAAATAACATTTGAAGACAATATGAAAGCTCATGAAACAGCATAGCTTACTTGACAAGAGAATGGTATAGGCAATATACATGACAGAAATTTAAATGAGGTGAAACAAACCTCTCTCTCTCTCTTCTCAGAACCTGGCTAATAGACTTGGAATGGCAGGTTTGATAGGCTTATACTAGTTCCCCATCCAGGTTTAATTTCTCATATCACCCATTAACTTCAACCTCCCTTTATAACAATATTACCTATGCCTATAAGGAAAATGTTTCTTCAGATTTCAACTGTTATGTACTCTGCAATAGATACTGGATATTTTTTGTACATTTGTTCTGTCAATGTATTTTCTTTTTCCTCTTAGAAACATTCTCTGACATGAATTAAATCTTCGATTAACTGAACTTTGTACAATATCTTGTACACTCAGAATTGCACACACTGGCCTCATAACCTTCTTAGATACTTGTATCAGATTAGGTTTGGCTTAAATATATATCAGGCTAGATTTTTTTAACTATATACTGCTTATAAGACACATACATAAAAGGGCATAGCCTTCTATCTGGGCACAACCTTTTGTGTGTGTATGTGAATTCGCCCATCTAAGTGTAAAGATTCCATGATCAAAACAAAACAAAACACACAAACAAAAAACCATGAGGATTTCTATCAGGATTCACTGAGTTATATTTTGGTAGCAAATAAACCTCTAATCCAAATGATGTATGTAATTTGTATGTCTAACATGGATCAGCAGAAGAGCTTTGATGATTATTGTCTGTCTTTCAGATACCCAGATAGATTGAACAACCACTATCTCTTATGTTGCTGGTTACTATGTTAGAAGAAAGAAGCTCTGGGGCATCTGGCATAAGCAATGTATTGTTCCAGCCTAGAAATGACATGTAATAATTCAGCATTCAAATGATCTGTCTGAATTAGTCACATGGACCAGTTACCAGTGGCCTAGAGACAGAAGTAGGGAAAATAGTACATATTTGTAATCAGCACCTCAACTGCAAGACTGGCCTTGCCCAAGTCACACCTTTCCATAGCTGACCACATCTAGAGACTGAGGTGAGGTGAACTAGAGAGGCCTAGCCATTTCCATCACTATTAGGCAACTCTGACAGGCAATCCTTTTTCCAGATATTTTATCCTGTTGGCCAGAGTTTTGACAATTTTGCATCATAGCTTGACTTGATTTCACTCTCTGTCCAATTCTGCTTCCTCTCCCTTCCTTTAAGGTGTGTTGATTCATAATAAACATCTTGTGCTTTAAACTTCATCTCAACAGCTGCTTCTGGTATACCCAACCTGTGATAGTCTGAAATTGATTCAGACCTTGTGAACATAACCATTTTACCTTGAAGAACATTTAATTCCTTTATTACATACACTGTCTAATTCTATTTTTGTTAACTTTTCTTTTCTAAGAAGGGTGAGGAAGTACATTTGCCTGTCATTTATTTTACAAAAACAAAAACAAGTATTTTCAATGCTTGAAAGTTAAAAGTCTGGTTTCATGATTTCTCTAAAAATTATTTTGCTATAGTTAATTTAATATTTATTTTTAGTCTGGATTCTGGCAAACATAGTGTTTTTATTTCTTTCTTTATTCATCTATGTGTTCATTTGTGTGACCGAAACTAGATATTTTGTTCCTTAATAGATCGTTTTTCCTTCTACATTAATAGAGCCTTTAATTTTTATCAGTTTTATACCCACTCAAAATTAACACTATATTTTCCACTATTCCTTTTAGATAGATGTGAACATAGACTAAATTGCAGCCAATAATATAACTATGATAGGTTTGTTGTCCAATGCACTGCAAGTCAATATACTGAGACACTAAGTTGAAGCAAAGAAAGAGTTTTAATTTTAAGGCTGCCAAATGAAGAGGTAAGAGGACTCCTCAAATCTGTCTCCCCAAGGAATTTGGGGCTAGGGTTGGGTTCTTAAGCGTTTTGGTGTCGACCAAAGTGTGGAGACCATTGATTGGTGGAAGAGTGCAGGGTGAAGTCATGGAACAGAGAGGTGGAGAAACTGCATTTTCATGCTGATTCAGTTCTGTTGTGGGGGTCTTCAAGCTGTTTGGGGTCAGCTGTTCTGCTGGCATTCACAATCTGAAAAATGGTGATCCTTTAAAAAAAAGTCTTATGATTTTAACATCAGAGATCTTAACTATAAGAACAATCAGGATGCAAATTAATTCTTAAACACAAGCTTTATAGTTCTAATATCAGAATTCCTATCTATAGGGGCCATGAAGATGCAAATGATCAGTATCTAGTGCTACCTGTTAGTTAGAAGGAAGTAGATCAGAGTGCAGCCTGATTAATGCTTAAATATAGCTATATTTCTGTCCAGAATTCTTGTTAGCCCTGTGAGGATGGCTTCAAAAAGATGTATGAGAATGCGAAATTACAACCTCTAGGACAGAAAATGAAGAGGGGATCTTATCATTCACTTTCTAAAAATGCGGAAGTAATGGCTGACATCTAGCCATTGTGGACAATGAGGACAAACGGTATGATCTAGGAATGATGAAGGAAAAAATTGAATTTACTTAATTCTGGACAATGCAGGGCAACACATCATCCCTGCAAGGCCTAGATTTGGTCTTATATAACACAGAAAATTGTTTTAGCCACCACTAATTTAGACTTACCCTTGTATGCAGCCAAACTTAATTCTTACTGATACAGATCATTTATTAGTTATGTGTTTTGCATGGGAGTATCACTGATTCATAAAAAATTGTTTAAGTAAATGATCAATATATTCACATATAACATAGCATAATGATTTAAATCTTAACTTTGATCCAGTTGGTATGCATTCAAGCACTGGTTCCAACACGTATTAGCTTTATGGCCTTATACACCTTACTAAGTCCCTCAAGGCCTCACTTTTTAGATTGTTAACTTGTGTTAAAAATAGTATCTGCTTCACAGTTTTGTTGGGTGCATTGAATGAGGTAATATATGTCAAATACTGAGCCCTAGGCATAGCACATATTAAAAGCTCATAATATTAGTCATTATTGATTTTCTTATATATATATGTAATGATAAACTATGCTCAAAGTAAATGGATGGCATACTTTTGGTATAGGCAAAAGATAAAAATAAGTAAGCCTATCTATTCAAAGGAACAACCATAAGGCTATTTGATACTGGTGTGTTTAAATCATGAGGGAAAAGATGATTTATATTCCTAAAATGATACTACATAGAGTCCATGATTTTTTTAAAAATCTGCTGTTTTCCCTAGCTATGATGGATATTTTTTTTTTGTTTGTTCACGAAGGTATTGTATCTAGCATTCACAGAAGTAGGACCCTCACTATGGGCAATTTAAAAAAAAAATGGTGACTCCATAAGGAACACAAAAGCCTTTAAAGAATTCTTGCCACATCTTCTCACTTATTTTAACATCCATGAATACATGCAGTCAGAATTCAGCTCTTTGTGTAATTTAAGTGTGACTAAACTTTGAGTAATCAGTTTTGTTCTCTGTATGCTTAGCTTATCTGTCATTCTTGAGGAGAAAAAACTATACCTAGATTATTCACATTCTGTATTGCTAAAAATAAAAATATCCACTCTTTTTTAGATAAAGTACACCATTTATTTCCTATATCATGCTACTTTAAAGAGTGTATTTTTTTATTTAATGTACTAGTATTAGAAATACTTTCATTAAAATGTTTAATTCTTTTAAGACTCCAGGTTATTATAAGCTAAACTTTCTCCTGATACACACTCAAGGGTGATTTCAGGGCCTACCCTGCTATTTCATGTAGTATATAATAAGCAAGGCACTGGGAATCATGATTCTACTAATAACACACTCTATGAATTTAGCTGTCATGCCAGATTTCTAAGTGTAACTTTCTAAGCAGTAAAATGAGAGGCGTCTTCTACAAAGGAGATTCAGATTTATTACTTAATTTGTTACATGATCTGCAAAATATGAATAATCTACATTATTTCTTACATAACTAGAATTGTGAACTATAGCATGTTAGGTAACACAATATGAATGTTAGCAGCACCAGAATAAATCCTTAATAGTTAAATAACTGTGGGATCTAAAAGTAAGCTTTTATCAATTTGAATAAAGAAATGTAAATACAGTCAGTCAACTGTATTTAATACACTAGATTTCACATGTGTGTATTCAACCAACTGCAGATAGAAAATTTTCAGGGGAAAACAAATGGATGGATGTATCTGTACTGAACGTGTACAGACTTTTATTTCTTGTCATTATTCCCTAAACAATATACTGTAACAACTATTTACATAGCATTTGCATTGTGTTACTCATTGTAAGTAATCTAGAGATAATTTAAAGTATATAAGATGATTTATGTAGGTTATATGCAAATACTAACACCATTTTAAATCAGGGACTTGAGCACCTATGGATTTCAGCATCCACTGGAGGCCCTGGAATGAATCCCCCAAGGATATTAAGGGATGACTGTAGTTTTACACACTGAGTTAGTTTCTGTGTGTGTGTATAAGTGTGTGTATGTAGCAGGGAGGGTAATTGCAATTTTGATTGTAGCATTAACATATGGTCCATGATTATGGGTAATTTCTTAGTTCAATTTAAGCAGTTTCATAAAAAAGAAAGCATGTTTATAGAGTGACTTAGATCAGAAACATTCCAAAATTTGGCTACATTATAAGAAATATCTGCTATTTATAATGTCAGCACCAAATAACATGGATTTGTTTATTTAGGGATGTATAATACACTTCTGGAACAATCAGTTTCTTCTGATAGTGAATCATCTTAGGGAAACTTTGTGATATATGCAAAGATATTCCATGGGCAATCACAGAAATTTCAAAGATGATTCATGCACATAAAAATCTATAAATCTAATTCTAAAAATGGGATTAGATTTTTTTGAATGGTTCAGCAATTTTTAAGAACCTGTGATTGCTATATCACCAAAGTAGTTCAGATCAGAATAAGTATATTCATTCTATCAGTACCTCATTCTGCGACCTTATGTTCAGTTTAAGGATTAGTATTTGCATGTCGCTGAGTATCTCAGCCTTTTTTTTTTTTGCTTTTGCACTAAAGTTCCAATTTTCTAATAGGTTGATATCTGCCCTATTACTTTTAGTATAATTTTTATATCAATAGGGTTTCATGGAATAGAATTTCCAAATTCTTGAATTCCAAAAATTTTCTGAGTAAGAATTCCAATGAATCTCCTCAGAATTTTGTGAAAAGAAAGCTATGTGACAGCATTAGTGTTGCTATAAAAATGGATATCTTTAAAAAGAGGAGGATAAAGATAGATTTATTTAATATCTTACACTGTCAAATCATGCCATTAATTTGAATTGCATAATTAGTAGGAAAAAAAACCTGAGATAAAGACAATGAAGCTAGGCAAACCACTTTCTTACTCTATTAGATAAACTATTGAAAGCTTTTTTGCCTTCTCATGCTAATGTCATAGATCTAATCTAGAAAATAAGTGGGTTTTGTTGTTGTTTTTAGTTGTTTGTTTCTTTTTCTTGTCTATAACACATTTACATATTTCTCACTGCAATGTTATTTGAACTTCTTAGGTCATGATTGTTAACAAGAAAACTAGCAGTATATAGTTGAAAAAACAGATCGTTAGTTTGTTGGTGACAGAACTCAAGGTACTGTTATTAGAAAGATGTTGATTCCTATTCTAGATCATTTATGTTTTCAAATACTTATAGAATGAGTTTGTTAATTTCCATCAAAAAATTTTATGGACTTTTTGTCTGAGTTCACATTGAATATATAAATCAAAATGTAGGAAAATGATACATTATCATTACTATCTTAATATATTAGAATGGTAAGTATTTATTTAGGATTTTATTGTAATATTTTGAAATTTCAATATTTTTCACATTTAATGATTTCAGATTTCAGAATTTCAATGGTTTTCAAATCTATTTATAAAACTTTTGACAATGTTATAAATGGAATTGATTTATTAATTTTATTTTCTAATTGTTTTCTATTGTATATAAACATACAATATATATTTGTATACTTGCTTGAGTCTATCAACCTAACTAAACTCACTTATTAGTGCTGATAGTTTTATATGGATTAGTATAATTTCTAAAAAAGTAATGAGATCATCAACATATGTTGATAATTTACTTGTTTATTCAAATTAATGTTATTTTACTATTTTTTATTTGAATATAATGTTAAATAGATGTTTTGAATAAAAGAGAGCGAATAACATTGCCTTATTTTCTGTTTTTTGATAGACAGTTTTAATATTTCACCAAATGCATTCAATAAAATGTTGACTAGAAGAGTCATTCTTCCCTTGAACTCAGCCTATGAAGGAAGTTGTTCAGTATTTCACCATATAACTTATGACATAATAACTTTCTATAATTGTATATTATCTGAGCTTTTTTGTAAATATCTTTTATTAGATGGATGAAGTTCCCTATTAGTACAGAGTTGAGAGTTTTTATTATGGATATGTGTTAGAAGTTTTTCAAATGTTGTTTCTAATGTTTTGAACCGAACTTTTAATTTTTATTTTTTACTTCTTATGATTTATTATCCTGTTAATGGTGTGTGCACTATTTTCAAATGAAAAAAAAGGAAAAGAGCCTTTACATCCCTGGAATAATTCACTTGATCATGATATATTGTCCTTTTTATATATTGCTGGATTAAATTTGCTAATATTGATTAGAAATTGAACAATGAGAACACTTGGACACAGGAAGGGGAACATCACACACCGAGGCCTGTTGTGGGGTGGAGGGAGTGGGGAGGGATAGCATTAGGAGATATACCTAATGTAAATGACGAGTTAATGGGTGCAGCACACCAACATGGCACATGTATACATATGTAACAAATCTGCACGTTGTGCACATGTACCCTAGAACTTAAAGTATAATAAAAATATATATATATAAAAAAAGAAATTTGGCTTCTATATTTATAAGTGATATTTGCCTGCCATTTGACTATATTATGCAAAATAAGATTATTTCAAAAATATAATTCATTTTCATGAATCTATGGTACTATTGATATATTTATATATGTATTATGATTATAGATACAAATTCATTTTTTTAACAGAAATTAATAAAAGAAAAAAGATAGCCATTTATATTTATCTATTCTTGGTCTTTCATCTTCTGGCATGGCAGTTCTGGAGTTTCAAGTCTGCTTTAGATGAACAGTTTCTAATTTTAGTATGCTTTGTCACAGACTCCAGCTCTTCAACTGCCCTGACCCTTAATCTCTGCTTTTTCAACTCAGTAAGACTGCCATCCTGTTTTGCTTATCTACATTTTTTGGTTCCCCCAACACATACTCTGCTTTTATTTCCCAAGAACTTGACATAGGCCACAAGCATATATTTGGTTAAACAGGGATCTCATTTTGCTTTTTATGTCTTTTTTAAAGATTCAAAGACTCCTATTCAATGAATAAAAATTTTGCCTTATTTATTACAGTTGTGTAAGACAGAAAGATCAATATGCTTCCAATTAATACTATCATGGCTAGATATGGAAGCCACTTTTGCTTGTTGTTTTAGATTTTAATAAGATCTTATATTCTACTTGTCTCTGTGAGAATGGTATGAGAATTTGGCCTTCATTAACTGACTAATTCTATTCTTGTTGTAACAATATAAGGATAATATTGTGAACAAAATTATTACACAACACTTTAAAAAAATCTATGATTGGTAAATTTTATCTGAATAGATGGGAAGAAGCATATGTAAATGAATCTACCTGAGGAAAACATTATGATTTGGGATTCTCTTCATGCAGTGACTGACTTGTAGGGACTCTTGTAACTAAGTATGCCCCTTCCAGAGAAGCATTTAGGGGTTTAAAGAAAATATTTGGCTTTTGTGAGGCATAAGATTTTTAAGTCAAGGTAGCTCCCATCACTGAATCTTAGTTCCATGTATCGTGTATCATGTGGACAACTACAAAGGAAACTCACTGAAAAAGAAGAGCATGTTATAATTGTTAATCTAGATCCACCTATGTAGACTGGAACTAAATGTGGCCTATAATATAGTCTTAGAAACTTCTGGTTTCAGCTAATGTCCAGCTGAAACTAAAAGATCTCTTGGTGTTTAATGCCATGAGGCTTTGTGCACAGCCTACATGTTTTTGATGAAGCCAAAATAATGTTTGAAATCCATCATACTAAAATGATCAGTCTGCATTCCACTGAGTCAACAAAGCCATCATACTAACACGGTTATTCTGCATTCCACTGAGTCCAGATCTTACTTCTGCCACATAGCTTCTTAGGCCAATTCATTGTTATTTCTGAGTCCTATTCTTCCAGAGACTAGCTTTTGGCAATGCCTTTTTTTCATCTGCCTCCTCTAAACTGCTTCCTTTGTGGACTGTTTCAACAGCCATACTCCCAAACACAGGGCATTTGAACTTTCTATTTCCCATATCAGAAACTCTGCTGCCACAGATAATTTCATGACTCACTCCTTAAATGTAATGTATGAACATATGTGCTGAAATGTTTCTGCCCTATTAGAGAAAGAGGAGGAGAGGGGGAAAGAGAGAGAGAGACAGAAACAGAGAAAAAGGGAGGGTAAGGAAAGAGAGAGACAGATTATGTTGAGTATTTGCTTATGTGTTTATCATATATCTCTCCCCCATAAACACACAAATGCACACACACCCCTCATAGGCTGTCATCTGAGGTCCCTGGGTGGTAGAGCTTTGTTTTGTTCTCTGCTTTGTGACTGTCATCAGGAAGAGCACCTGGCTTACTGTCATGATTAATTTTATGGGTCAACTTTACTAGGCCACAGGATTTCCAGATATTTAGTCAGACATTATTCTGTGTTCTGCCAGGGTGTTTTTGGCTGAGATCAACTTCTGAGTTAGTACACTGAGTAAAGCAGCTTGTCCTCCTTAATGCAGGTGAGCTTCCTTCAATCAGTTGAAGGCCTGAACAAATCACAAAAGCTAACCCTCCTCTGAGTGAGAGAGAATTTCTCTTGCTTGACTGCCCTTTAACTGGAACAATTGGTCTTTCCTGCCTTCAAATTGAAATATTGGCTCTTCTTGGGTCAAGACTGCCAGCCTTTGGAGAGGAACTACCCCATCAGCTCTCCTGGGTCTCTAGTTGGCCAACTCACCCTGTTTCTCTGGAGAACCCTAATATACTTACAATAGGTGCTCAGTATACATTTCTGAAAATGTTTCATTTTTTCTTACCCATCAGGACATAAATGTGGTTCCTGGATTCTACGTTTGTAATAAATGAATTTATAATTAACAAACCGTAACTATGATATAATTATATCAAAATTAAGCCAGTGTGGTTTAAGAGAAATACAGAGTTTTAACCTTACATATGCTATTATTTCTCTTAGGTAGAAGAAAATGGTATTTGTTATTTTCTGGTGCTAACGTTAAGAATGTAAATATTTTATAACTGGAATATTTTTAAAGAGCTTAATAAATATTGGAAAATGCTAACAGAAGTTTGGAAAGAGTATTTGCTAAGTGTAATAGGAAGGGGAGAAACTTAACTGAAGTAATTAATAGATTTGACTATATGAAATTTAGCTTCCATATGGCAAAAAAATAGCATTTAATGAATTTAAATAAGGAATAGAGGGAAAAAATTTCAATAAATATGAAGTTAAATTAATATTCATTATATATAAAGTACTATTATGATTAAACAAGGAGAACAAAGATATCTATAGAAATTAAGACATGGTAAATAAGGAGCAAATTAAATGGGAATGAAAATGGCTGACCCAGGCAAACATAGTAAGTCTAACTAATAGCCATGTCAAGTGAAGTAAAGCAAAAGTAAAATATGATTTCCACTGTAAGTTTAGGAAAAAAATCATTGTCTGATAATATCTAATATTTAAAATTGCTATAGTATTTTTGGAGGGCATGTGACAAAAACGCTTACAATTTTTAGATTGCAAAGACGTTCATACATTTAGAAATAGCCATTGAAATCGTGCATCATTTTTGTAAGAGCAAACAAGTAAAAACAGTTATTGGCCAAATTAACTGTAGTGTATCTGTATTATAAAATGCAATTCAACTATTAAAATGAATGAGGTAAATCTATATTATTTTAGCAAAAATAATGATTTATAGAATAAGGTATATATCTTATTTATGGTTAAAATATTTGTTTAGGCCAGGCGCAGTGGCTCACATCTGTAATCCCAGCACCTCAGGAGGCTGAGACAGATGGATCACGAGGTCAGGAGTTCGAGACCAGTCAGACCAACACGGTGAAACCCCGCCTCTATTAAAAATACAAAAATTAGCCAGGCATAGTGGCACATGCCTGTAATCCCAGCTACTCAGAGGCTGAGGCAGGAGAATTGCTTGAACCCGGGAGGTGGAGGTTGCAGTGAGCCGAGATCGCGCCACTGCACTCCAGCCCGGGCGACAGAGTGACACTCAGTCTCAAAAAATATATATATATATAAACACACACACATATATATATAGAGAGAGAGAGGCTCTTCTGAAGAAGAAGATCATGTTGAGGAAGCAAACTATGGGAGGATTTACATTTTTAATATATATTTTTCTCTTTAAATGAATGGCATATTGATACAGTTTGGCTCTGTGTCCCCACCCAAGTCTCATATTTAATTGAAATATCCAGGGTTGGAGAAGGGGCCTGGTGGGAGGTGATTAAATCGTGGAAGTGGTTTCTAATGGTTTAGCACCATCCCCCTAGTGCTGTCTCATGATAGAGTTCTCATGAGATCTAGTTGGTTCAAAGTGTGTAGCACTCCCCACTTTGCTCTCTCTCTCTCTCTTCTGCCGGCCATGTGAAGACTGTGGCTGCTTCCCCTTGGCCTTCTGCCATGATCATAAGTTTCCTGAGGACTCCCCGGAAACAAGCTTCTACAGCCAACACATGTATAAGCCAATTAAACCTCTTTTCTTAACAAATTACCGAGTCTCAGGTTTGTATTTACAGCTGTGTGAGAATGGACTAATACACAGATTATTTCAATAATTGCAATATTTTGAAGAAAAATACTAAAATAAATTTTACATGTATGGAATATTAAGTTTCATAAATGTTTTTATATCTTTCTTGTAAATGTATATATTATCAGGATGTATACAATAATCAGTTACCATTTTATAATCACAAATTTTTCATAAGAATTAAATAAAAAAGAATTAAATAAATCAAAATAAATATTAAGTGATAAATGAATAAAAAATTTACATTGAATAGCTTTCAAAGTCTTAGTGCACAAATATTAAGTGTATTGTAGAAATACATGGTAATTTAAATGCATTTTACAAATAATAAAAATTAAATATAAGCATGTAATTAATGGTCACATATAGGATAAAAATGACAAATAATTGGTTGCCAAGATTGATAGCTATAAAAAATGTATTCGTATGAGGAATTATAATTGAGTTAAAGATAGTACATTAATACTTTTTTTTCAACTCATGTCCGAAATTATAATATTGAAATGTTTAAAATATGGGCAAGTAGCTGCAAATGTTTCATAAAGAAGTGATTTTAAAAGGAAAATAGCTATAATCACTGCATCTCATTAACCTCTCTTAAAATAATCTGTCATATATGAAAAAAGTTTAAACATCTAAAGAAAAACTGAGTTCAAATTGTTCCCCACCTAGAATAAGAGTAGGTTATGTTAAACACGTGGATTTCCCATTTGTGTAGTAAAAAAGGTATTCACGCCTCAAGGCTGCACTGTAAATTTTTTTTTTCTTTCTGTCTCCTGGATAACACAATACTGCTTGGGAACATGAGACAACATACACTTACATGAAATATTTATTATATTGCAGATTCTAGGCATTTTCCTTGCTCTTTATTAATTTTTAGCTAGCAGAAATTTTTTTTTAATAACAGATATAAAAATAATGTTTGCAGGCTGGGCACAGTGGCTCACACCTGTAATCCCAGCACTTTGGCAGGCTGAAGTGGGTGGGTCACTTGAGGTCAGGAGTTCAAGACCTGCCTGGCCAACATAGTGAAACCATTCTCTACTAAACATACAGAACTTAGCCTGATATGGGGGCATGCAACTGTAGTCCCAGCTACTCAGGAGGCTGAGGCAGTAGAATCGCTTGAACACGGGAGATCAAGGTTGCAGTGAACTGAGATTTTGCCACTGCACTCCAGCCTGAGTGACAGAGCGAGACCCCATCTCAAAAAATTATTATTATAAATAATAATAAATATTATAAATAAATTATAATATATTATTTATATATTATATTATTTATATATTATAAATAATAATAATGTTTGCATTCATCAAATGATTCCCCATGAATATTAGCTGCTTTGAAAATTCAAGAAAAATAACATACAGAATGTGTCCATGTGTATGGATATGTGCTATGAATATGCATTATATACATCCTCCAGAGCGCGGTTTGCATGATTAAAAGCTACTTACAGTTAAAAGGTAGGGAGAATGGGGGTATAGTGATATATTCATTGTATTAGAGCACTGTACTTTCAAAGAGTTAAAAATAATTTTTCATTTTTTCATATTGTGGTTGTAAACTCCCTGACGAATTAAAGAGAATGGTTTGGGCATCAAGCCAGCAACTACTGTCTGCATTTTTTCATTCTTTCAAGGCAGAAAAGAGGCAGGTGGCATTTCAGTTTTTATTGAATAGTTAGGAAATTGAAACAGAAAACATAATCCTGTTTCTTGTTTCTCAAAGGTCATACAACTAGTCAGCAGTAGCAAACCTTATAATATCTATAGTTCTGCTTATTATATGAGAGGTACTTTATGTATATTGTATATTTTCACACACAATTGAAACTCTTAAATGAAAATATTATTTTTTATTTAATGCAAATCATGAAACAGGTTCAGAGAGATTAAATCACTTGCTTCAGGTTAAGATGGTAGAGAGTGGCAAAGCTGAGATTTTAACAAAAATATGTATGCCCCCAAAACTTTCTACTTCCCTCCCTCAAATAACTGACTATATTAGTGTTCATAGTTAAACTATGCTGGGAATTCGAAGGGAGACATTATAGATATTTAATAACAGAAGAAAACAAATTAGTAGATCTGCTCTATAATATTCTAAAAGAAAATTCAATTTTATCAATACAATTTACATAATAATCACAGTAACAAAATGCTTCTAATTGCAGTCTTGGTAATTTAATTTAGTTAATAAAGAAAATTTTTACATTTTAGCTTCTAAGTACTCTGAAGTATGCGCATGTAAGGGAAGCTTGTCTTTTTAAGTGAGATAAACGTGTCATTAATCTATTTACAACTTTAGTTTTTTTAATTTAAGTAATGAAAAATGTATATATTAAAACTACCTTCAGATCACATCATCACAGAGTTCCAACTATTGTGCAAGAAATTGTGGAATACCTTTTTTTTCTAATCCTAAAACCAGAATTATATTTTCTAACATACCACAATTATTTGTATGGACAGGATTGTTCCCTGCAATGCAAAGCCAGGGAAAATAGCTGCTATTTAAATATCATACAGGCTATAAATAATAGCTGCTTCATGAGGGAGAAAGAATGTTTAAAAGGGATATTAACCATTGAATATTTACACAATCATAATACTAATAATATTTTGCATTTACGTTGAACTTTTTAGCCAGAGCACTTTTCAGACATTGCATCAATAAACACAAGGCAGTCAACATTCCTTGCAATATACCAAAGTAGGACCATGAGTGTGTCATTCAAGTAGACATTTGAACACACAGAAAGAACTGGAAGCACTTATCTGCTAAATTAAAGTTCAGTGGTGAAGAAACCAGAGCAGCAGAGAAATTCTTTCCTGTGTCAATCCAAGGAAATATTTGCTACATTAAAGAGATAGTCACGTAGAAAGGAAACACCATTGCATTTTGACTCTGAAATCTCAGCTATGAACTATACTTAACTTCTCAGTTCTAAAGGGAGAATAATAATTTTTGACCAACTTACTTTCAGGGTCAATATGAAGTAAAATATGTTAGTATGTAACAATGCATTTTAAATGACATAGAGCTGTACAAACACAGGATATTCTTATTGTACATTGCTAGACTTATTGGTAAACTGGCTCCAATGGTCAAACAAGTATGATAGGCAACTTGTGAAACTATTTAGAATTTTCTACTCCTTGAGTCATTTCATCAAGCTCCTGGGAGTTGAACATATTCCCAATAGTCTATATATCAACCAGTTGATAAGTGGCAACATAAATTCACTTTACCAGGATTCACTCAAAAGATGAAAAAAAAAGATTCTGACAATGTACATAGGCTTTGTTGCACAGTGACAAGTCTTTAGTCAGAACCAAAAAGCCCTGGTATAACTTTATATTTAATGTTGCTTGATATGCCTTTTTATTCCTAAGAGTGATCATTCTTTCAGTCTTTTATTGTTGATGTTTATAATTCTGGGCAGAATTATGTACCCTACAATTGGTTTGAGATATCCAGTAATAAAGTGGTATACAGTATCCTGCTAAAAATAGATCTAAAATATTTTTTGCATGATTGAGAATTTTGATTCCATAATTTATGTAAATGACCAATGCAATAATTATAAAAATATGCAGTGTATGACATAATCCCTTGGGCCCACATTACTAATGATTTATGAACTCTTCTCATAATACTGGATGTTTCCTCAGTGACCCCCTCAACACAGCACTCTAGAAGACACCACCAATTAATTGCCATTTAACCTAACTTACTCTCTCTGTTCTAAGGTTTGGGATCATTTTAAGAAGTAGGTCAAAGGAGTAGATATCAGTCCTTAGAATAAACACAGACTTTACCAGGATTCTGAAAAATATTTTCTGTTTTACTGTGATTCCTGATATGCTGTGGCATAAAAGTGATAATAATAGTGATTATTAATATAATAATTTCTGCCTAATTTTACAAAGGTGTTTATGTCAATGATAATGTTGACATAAATAAGTCATAATTGCTGAAAATAGTAATAATTGATTTATTGAGTAATAAATATTAGTTATAAAAGATGAACTAAATTCTGCTTTAGCTAGGAAGAAAAAAACTAGTGTATCCAACATAAACAAACATAATATTGCACAAAATGTGTGATAAAATTAGTTTTCCAAAAATGGACAATAGGCAGTGTGAGACTGTGATCCCTGAAAGAATAGACACTAATGATAATGAGGTGATCCCCACAATCAAAATTCCATGACTGGAGACAATTTGTAGATTGTGACACAGAGAAATGGAATCCAAGCAGAACATAATTATCCCACTGAGCTGAGAATGCAGAAATCATATAGGCCACACTTGCTTTAACAAGACCTAAAACTAAACTCTGACAAAATTCAGAAGGACTTGAATCCAATAAAGGTAAAGGAGCTTGGAAAACAGGTAAAGAAACAAAATTACACAAGTTCAAACTGATAATCCAGTATGTAAACTGCCTGCTATACTCAGAATTAAAATGATTTACAAGAAAATAAGAAAACACAGTGCCTCTACAATGTATTATCCAAAATGTCAAACGTTCCATCAAAAATTAATAGACTTATGAAGAAGCATAAAACTATGATTTGTAATTAAGAAAATTTAAAATAGGAAATAGACCTTGATCCTAAGATGAACCAGATGAGAGAAGACTGACTTAAGTGTATACTATATGCATATTTCAATAATTATATAAAATATGGTAAAATAAACAAAAATAAATTATTCATGAGTGAAAAGGTAGAGAATTTCTGCAAAGTAATGAAAATTATGCAAAAAGAATAGATAGAAAATTATAGAACTGAAAGGTAGTATATTAGTAATAAAATTCATGGAATGAGGTTAATAATAGACTGAAATGGCAAAAGAAAATCAAAGAACTAGGAGACATATCAATTATCAAATTGAAGAAAAGAAAGGAGAAAAATGCAAATTAACAGTGCTTCAGTAACTTATGAGACAATATCAAATTGTCTGTCCTACATGTTATTGGAGTGCCATATTAAAACAAAGTTAGAAAATTGTTTCAAAACATAGTGGCCCAACACCTCCAAAATTTGGTGAATATTACTGATTTACTTGTCCAAGCAAGATAAATACATAGAAATAATCAAACTTAGGCACATTGGAGTCATACAACTGGACACCAAATATGAATAAACAAATTTTAAGCAGTCATGGATAAAGGAAGCCAGAGTTGACTTTCCATGATAAGACAATGTAATAAAATCTTGAACAGCTGAAATAAAAAAGAAAATCTATAATCTCAATATTATGTATCAGGGGTAAACGTCTTTTAAAAGTGACAGTCTAAACAAATATTCAAATAACATAAACTGAGATTATTCATTGCAAACTCAAGTAGTACACCAAAATTAATCTGAATGGGTCCCCTTGAGGTTGAAGACAACTGAAACCAGATGGAAAATCACTTCTACAGGAAAGAATGAAGAACATCAAAAATAATAAATAAATAAGTAATTACAATAAAATACACGTTTTTAGCCTTATAATTTTCTTAAAACAAAATCAACTACTTAAAGCAAAAATAATTATTCAGTAAGAATGGTATTCAAGATATATATGAAACTTAAAAATATATGACAGTCACACAAAGGATGTGGAGCCTGAAAATAGAATGAGAGAATATAATATACTAATATATTATATCGGTAACCTGGGAAGTGAGAAGCAGGAAATGGAAACTAGAAGTGGGAAATATTATTAATTTGAGGAGAGAGAAGAGTGAAATGTCAGGTGCAAAGTGTGAAGTTTGAAAAGCTGGTCACAAACAGACTCTGAGAAGATAAGCAGACATATTATAAGCCCTAAAGCAACTAAAAATGATATAAAATGTGGTGGCAGCTAAGGAGGTTATAGAGGAAACAAAATGGAACTCTAGAAACTTTTGATAAGCCCCCAAAAAGGCAGAAAAGAAAGAACAAAGAAACAAAATAGAATGGAAAATTGAAAACTATTAGCAAGATGGTAGAGTTAAATCTAGCAAATCAAAAAAATAACTCTAAAATTAAATAAATATTTATTTAGCAAACACAACATAAACTATATGTTGTGTTTACAATATGAATGTTAAATAAAAATACACACACATGTTGAAAATAATTGAATAGAAAAAGAAATTCCTAGCAACTTGCAAGCATAAAAAAACCTGGTGTTCCTATTTTAATATTAGAGACTGTATTAGTGCTTTCTTACACTGCTATAAAGAACTGCCTGAAACCGGCTAATTTTTAAAGAAAAGAGGTTTAATTGACTCATAGTTCTGCATGGCTGGGAGGCCTACGGAAACTTACAATCATGGTGGAAGGGAAAGCAGCCACGTCTTACGTGGTGGCAGGTGAGAGAGAGCATGTGAAAGAGCAGCTGTCAAAAACATAAAACCGTCAGATTTCTTGAGAACTCACTGACTATCAGGAGAACAGCAGGGGGAACGGCCCCCATGATACAATCACCTACCAGGTCCCACCTTCCACATGTAGGGATTATGGGATTACAATTCCAAATGAGATTTCGTGGGGAACACACAGCCAAAGCCTATCAGAGACATAGTAAATTTCAAAGCAAACTGTATCATAAGAGATAAAGATGAACATTATATAATAATAGAAAGATCAATTTAATAGGAAGATATGACATCTATTAAAACAACGCCAAAGTTCAGAAAACATAAATTGACAGAACTAATAAAAATTTATAATAATATTGAAAATTTTACCAGTCCTTCCTCAATAACTAATTGATCAACAGATGAAAAAATTAGTAACTATATAGAAAATGTAAAACAAATTTAGACAAATTGCAGCTGCTCCTGGATAGATTAGGTTATGTCTGGATAAACCTATCATAAGTTGAAAATATTTTAATTATTAACTTCAGTAGTCAATTGTAGTAACAATTAAAAGCAGAATCAATATCAATCCTACACAATTTTTAAAATACAGAAAAAAGGAATATAACCTGACTTAATTTTACAAAGCTAGCATAAATGTGTTATTAATGTCCTGAAAGATATTATAAGAAAAATAATTCTGAAGGATGTAGTTCAAAAAGCCTCAATGAAAATTCCAGATAAAACCCTAAATTCTATAAATATGTAATACATCTTCATCAAGTCAGGTTTATCTTAGGATGGTAAGTTTATTTCATGTCAGGAAATTATTTATATTTTTTACCCACTTAATAAGAAAAATTATAAGATAGATACAGTTGATGTATACACTAAGCCTTTGATAAAATTCAACACACCCATTCAAGTTTGAAAATCTCAGAAAATTGGATTTAGAAGGTGTGGCAGTCATGCTGTAAAATGATCCCCAATGATTCCTGTATCCTAGTATTGTGAAACTCTCTCCTCTTTAGTATGGTAAAACCTGTGACTTGCTTTTAACCAAGAGAATATAGTAGTGATGACTAAAGATCACTCCCATGATTCTGTGACCTTGAGACAGTCTTTGTTTCACTGGCTGACTTACCAGAAATTCATTGCTGGTTAGAAAAAAAAGAGGCCATAATGAGAAAGTGTGGCCTTCAGTTGAAGACCCGTGAGCAGAGGATTCAGCTATGCTGAGTACTGACATTAGACTCTGAATCAGTGAAATAGTAACTGTGTAGTGTTTTCAACCACTACAGTTTCAGTAATTTATCAGGCAGCAACAGAAAACTATTTTGATACCAAAAAGTGAGATTGCTACCTTAATACTTAAAATATAGATGTGGCTTTGGAACCATGCAGAAGATGGTGGCAGATAAAAAGTCCAGGAGCATGATTAAGAATGTCTGAACTGCCTTGAACAGATGGTTTGTAGAAATCTGGACTTGAGGATGCTGCTGATAGAGTTCAAAGGAAGTGAGAAAATTGTTACTGGGAAGTGGAAGGAGAGAAAAGCACGTGTAGAATATATTTTTGTTTCTGATGGATTTCATTTGTTGTAAAGCAACCTTGTATTCTTATTATTATCTTTACAGCATCATGGTATATCAAACTTGGTTTAATTTTATTATGCTGTATTTTGCTTATGGTTTTTGCATCAATATTTTACAAGGAACATTGATTTCATTATTTTTGTTATAACATCTTGATTGAATTTTTTTTTCATATTGAGACCCTCTAACAGAATAAAATGTTAGCTGTTCTTTTTTTTCTGTTATTGGAAAAATGTGGGTAGAATTTGATGACCTGTTTCTTGAAAGATAATATTTGAAGGCAGTGATTATGTTTTTCTCATCTTTGATACTCCTAGCTTTTAGCATAAGACTTAACAAATAGGTAGTCAATAAATAGCTAATAAACCAACTTGATACAAAACTCCATTGTTCAATGTGTGGAAATTATAATATCTCATTTTGACTAATGTGCATCATATTAGAAATGCAAATAACTGCATCTGCATCCAATATACTTAATTTTAGAAAAGAGAGTGGTGATAAAATACGGGCACATTCATTAAATAACATAAATTACATAAACCGTTTGAAATTTTAGTAAAATATTAATATATACAGAATATCAGAGTTTTCATAAAATCTGACATGCACAAAAAAGGTTTTATGAAAAAAACAGAAATACAGCTTAAGTGAACAAAGACTTGAAACATTCATGGTCAGTACGAATTAATGTAAAGATGAAAGAATTTGACATAAGGAAACATGGGTTTAAGCCTCAGCTGTATTTTTTTTTAAAACAATGTGATTTGAGGTAAGACTGAAGTTCTCTGAATTTCCAATATTGTTTAGCAGAAAAGGGCATAATTATTTACATCACAAAGATTAAATTAGGTTGTATATTTTAAGCACCTGTGAACTATAACACAATATACAAATATAGAGTGTGATTAGAGGTGATTAGGTGTAAAATAAAACATGATAGGTGAAAAAAAGACTGATGAGAAAATTACATGAGATAGTAAAATCATTGAAAAAACACATTTTTCATGTACAAAGAAGGAATTAAATAATTATTGAAGCTAAATTTTCAAATACACTGCTCATAAATGAAAAAAGAGAGACAAGCTAAATTTTTTTTAAACTAGGAAAAAAGTATTTCAAGAAATTCCACAATGAAACTGGGGAGATGTTTCTCTAAATGGGCAGCCTGAAAGTAAATTATTTATGAGGTCAACCAAACATATCTTCTGGAACCTGTGAATGTTATGCTGCATGGCAAAAGGGAATTTGCAGACACAGGTGTATTTGTGGGGAGAGTACTCTGGTTTATCCAAGTGAAACACATGAGCTAATGCCATGAGCCCTTAAAAGCAGAGAACTTCCTCCAGCTGAAAGCAGGAGACATAGCAGCAGATGTCACAAAGTTCCAAACAAACATGAGAAGGATTTGATGCATGATTGCTGCTCTGAAATACAGGGACCCAGGCTCATTGACCAAAAATAGGCCTCAAGAAACTAAACACAGTCCTCAGATGATAGCCAGCAAGGGAAGGAGAATCTCAGTACTACAAGCTCAAAGAAGTAGCCTCTACCAACAGTGTGAATGAGTTTGAAAAATGGTTCTTCCCGGATCCTCCTGACAATGGCCAAGCTGAACAACAGTATAATTTTGGCCTAGTGAAATCCAGAATAAAGAAACAACTTGATCCAACCTGGAGCCTACCAAACTGTGAGATATTAAATTTATTATTTTAAATGGCTAAGCTTGTATAAATTTATTATGGCAGCAATAGAAACTAATACAATCTGTGAGAACAGAATATGAACAGAATTAACTACAAGGACAGTGAGCAGATTGATTAAAAATGTGTTTCTGGGTCTTACAAATGATTCAAGAAACTCAAAAGAAACTCAAAATATTAATGACATTTATCTTTATGAATAAAATTGGTATACCTAACAAGTATTAGAAATATTAAGAAACCATATCGTACTGATTGTTTTTGGCTTTACAGAATACCTATCAGAAAAAATTAAGCATAAAATTTACTTAACCTTTTAAGAAAGCCTTTGAAAAGGTCATTGAGCATTATCCATTACAGTTTAACCACTATACTTACACAGTTTTTTCATAATGCCCACCTAAAGTTTAAACTCTACACAAAAATGTAGACCATATCAATCAATGAAAGAAACAACAACAACAACAACAACAACAAAACCCACACATGGCACACACCTACAAGAATAGCATGAAGTTAAATTTAAAACTCTGCAGTGAAGTAAATATCCAAAACCATAGATGAGCTCCAGCTCAGTAACAACATTGAGAGGGGATTGTGGGGAAACACAAGAGATGGTAATGGCAGCCAAGTGGTGACAAGTACTGATGAGAACTACTCCTGTAAAATAAAGTTCTATCCTGAATAGGAGAAAAAAAACAAACTTCTGAATCCTGCATTAGCATGAATAAGAGCATTAGTTTTAAGGAATATATATATATTTTAATATATATAATATATATTTTAATATATATATTATATATATATATTAAAATATATAATATATATTTTAATATATATATAATATATATATTAAAATATATATTATATATATTTTAATATATATAATATATATTTTAATATATATTATATATATTTTAATATATATAATATATATTATATATATTATATATAATATATGATATATTATATATAATATATCATATATCATATATTATATATTATATAATATATAATATATATTATATTATATATTATATATTATATAATATATATTATATATTATATTATTATATTATTATATATTATATATAATAATATATATAATATATAATATATTATATATAACATATATTGTATATAACATTTATAATATATATATTATATATAAAATATTATATTATATATATAATATATTTTAATATATTTTTAAATATATCTTAATATATATAATATATTTTAATATATATTATATATATATTTTTTAAGGGAAGAAGTGAAGTCAAAAGAAGACTATGCCTCTAGGAGTGAGAGACACTTGTTTGAAGAGAGAGGCAACACTTGGTGTCTCAGTGATGAAGAGGAAAACAAAGTAAAGGAGGTCATTTAAAAGTTCTACATAAGTGAAAAATTAGAAAACACAATATTCCCTCTCTCATAAAAATATGTAGTTCATTAAAGAAACAGGGCTACTTGTACCAAAAGAAAACCATAAAATTGATTTAAGAAACTTAAAAAGCTGCCCAAATTTCTTAATATTTCTTCCATATAAATACTTATTACTGTTTTTCAGAAAAATATTAGACATTTCAAAATAATAAAAACAGTAAGAATAGGCAATACTATAAAATGCTACTTGAGGAAGAAAATAGTTGATAATCAAAACATTACAGGTGATAAAAAAAGTTTCCCTCTAACTCTCAATAAAGTAGAGAAAAATATAAAACATCAACATAATTAAATATCCTTAAATAAGCACTGGATGACATTAAGACACATCACAAAATGAAAATTTTACTCATTGCATAAGTGAATAATAAACAGGAAGACAATTAAGAAGAAAAGGTTCAGTGAACCAAGTAAAGAAAATTTAAAAAATAAAGTAAGGAATCACCTTGGTAGTCAAGATTAAATTACAAGATAAGCAAAGGAGATTCATTTCAGCTCAAATAATTAGGAACACTTAGAAGAAAAATAAAATAACAGCAAAAGAAATCAAAATAAAGTTAGAAGCAAAATGGAGAAGAGAAAACATAACAGGGAAAAAGCTTAGTTATATACAAAATAGACAAATATCCAAAATATAAAAAATTAAATTATATAAACAAGAAATACAAAACAGTAAAACAGATTAATTATTTAAAGTCTACTCTGAGAAAGATGTCACAAAATAAAGGAAAGGACAATTGTTTACCTTGGAAAAATACATAGAATAGTTAACTTTAAAATGTATCATAGCAATACCATATGAATTTAAATGTACAAGGAATATACCCATTCGTAATTTGGATTAATACACATTAATAAAGAGCACAAGAAGTGGTAAATATAGATGAATACATGTACAGTACTTTTTTTCTATTTAAAGCAATAATAAAAAATCTATTTTAAGATATTTAGGCAGAAGTAAAACTATAACAACAATAGCACAAGGGATGAGAAGGGGAAATAATTTTATAATATTGTAAGGTTTTTAATATTATGTGAAAAATCATATCATATTATTCAAATGGCTAATGATTCACAATATAAACTGTAGAGCAACTTCTAGAAAAAAGTAAGCAAACAACAAGAACAAAAATAAAAGCCTGATCTAGTAAAACAATTCTAGAGGTGAAAAGGAAAAACATTGAAATCCAAAAGAGAAAATAAAAAGTAAAAAGAAATAGCCTTTAAGAAAAACAGAGAACAAGTAGCCAGACAGTAGACTTAAACTCTACTATATCAATAATCTAACTTAATTTAAAGGGCCAAAACACTCCAATTAGAAGGTAGAAATTAGGCTGGGTGCGGTGGCTCACTCCTGTAATCCCAGCACTTTGAGAGGCCAAGGCAGGCGGATCATGAGGTCGGGAGATCGAGACCATCTTGGCCAACATGGTGAAACCTTGTCTCTACTAAAAATACAAAAACATTAGCTGGGCATGGTGGTGCATGCCTGTAGTCCCAGCTACTCAGGTGGCTGAGGCAGGAGAATCGCTTGAACCTGGGAGCAGAGGTTGCAGTGAGCCAAGATCACGCCAGTGCACTCCAGCCTGGGCAAAAGAGCGAGACTCCGTCCCAAAAAAAAAAAAAAGAAAAGAAAAAGAAAAAAAAAAAAGGAAACACCCAGCATTATTCCATCTACAAGAAGCACACTTTAAAGACATAGGTAGGTAAGAAGTAAAAGGATGGAAAAGGGAATACCATGAAAACATGAATCCAGAAAAAGCTAGAGTGGCTATATTAAAATCATGCACAGTACATTTCAAAGTAAGGAATATTAGCATAGGGAAAGGGGAATATTTCATATGAAATCAAGGATACTTGTTAGAAATTTAGTGTAATTATGCAGGCAAAAAATTCCGGAAGTGGTGGTAGTGCGGAGAAGTAATTAGATACTGAATATATACTTGATAGTGTTTCCTAATGTGTTGAACCCGTGATCTGAGAAAATGAAAAGACTCAAAATGATTCCAAGGTTTTGACTTGAAACTATATAGTATTATATTTGCCATTTAGTGATTTAGAGAAAACTACATGAGAACTGGGGGAAGAGAATAAAAAGTCTAGATTTAAATAGATTAGATACTATAATAGAGATATCAATGAGTCCACCAAATAGTCTGGAATACTGGGGAAGTTCTCCTGAAAAAAAAAAAAAAAAGCATTCATTGGATAAAAGACATAAATGCATTAAAAACAAGGAATGTAGAATTAGAGTCTCCATATAAATCGAGTATGATTTCCAGAAGGAAAGAAAACAATAAATAGGACAAATGTGATATACAAAGTAGAGACAATAATGGGAAATTTTTCAGAATCAGTCATTGGTGGAGCATGACACGAGTGATTAAGTAGGGTAGTGGTCACTAAATCCAACAAAAATAAATACCTCCACTTCATGATCTTCATCATTATCATCATAATCATTGTTATCATCTTAAGTACCATCCACAAATATCACAAAGCTCTAGAATACTATTGTTATTGTACTGGAAATGTAAAACTCTAAGGTAATTAAAACATAAATCAAATGTAAATAATATATTTTCAGATACAAAAACTAGAAGGGATTACCTAAAAAATCTCTGCAAGACTTCTTAAATAATGAAGTTCATGGTGAAGGAAAAAGAAAACTAAAAGAAATGGAGGCCGGGCGCGGTGGCTCACGCCTGTAATCCCAGCACTTTGGGAGGCCGAGGCGGGTGGATCATGAGGTCAGGAGATCGAGACCATCCTGGCTAACAAGGTGAAACCCCGTCTCTACTAAAAATACAAAAAATTAGCCGGGCGCGGTGGCGGGCGCCTGTAGTCCCAGCTACTCGGGAGGCTGAGGCAGGAGAATGGCGTGAACCCGGGAAGCGGAGCTTGCAGTGAGCCGAGATTGCGCCACTGCAGTCCGCAGTCCGGCCTGGGCGACAGAGCGAGACTCCGTCTCAAAAAAAAAAAAAAAAAAAAAAAAAAAAGAAATGGAAAGCAAGAAGGTATGGTTCCCCAGAAAAATCACTGGAACATACCAATAAATTACAATAAGTAGTTCTAAGTAATGCATTATTTTTTAAATAATGTAGTTTAAAATTGCGCTTTATTAGTCATTAAGAAAAAGCAACACTGCATTAAAACCGAAGTGTGATATCATTATACATTCACCAGAATAGTTACAGTAAAAATGAAAGGCAATTTAAAATTTTGCTAGAATATAGAGCAACTTGAACTCTCATACAACAGTGGTAAAAATGTAAATTGGTACAACTACTTTGGAAAATTGTTAGGTAGTATATACAAAGGTAGAAAGTTTGTTTAACATATATCCCAATAATTATACTCCTAAATATAAAACACAAAAATGTGCTGCAAAATGTACAAAATGATTGATAACACCACTATTTTAACAGCTCCAGATGGAAACAATTCAAATGTCCAACTCTAGTTGAATTATTGAAATAGTGTGAGGTATTTATGTAGTGGAACACTAAGCAACAGTGAAAATGAATGAATTAAAACTACACCTAACACCATGAGTAAATCTCAGGAACGTAAGTTAGAATGAAAGAAGTCAGGCATTAACAACTATCTGCTATGTATTTATACTCACATAACATTCCACAAAATGCAAAATTTATATACTATGTTCAAATTCAGGGCAGTGTTTACTTTAGGAACAGAAGTTGTTACTGAAAAGATGCATGAGGGACATTTGGGCACTGATAATGTTCTGTCTCTTGATCATTGGTGTATTCATTTTGCTAAGATTTATTTAGGCATCTAATTTATGTACTTCTCTGTATGAATGTAATACTTTAGTAAGAAATTTATAAAATAAAAACTGTGGATGTTGGGAAGACTGGCACACACCAAGAAGATCTTTGGAGGGAAGACATTGAGAGTGGATGGAAAGAAGACACAGATGCTGGGCCTAGGAGTAGGGAGGAAGCAGGGAACCCTGCATGGGCTACTGTGCACGAGGACTCATTCCTAGACCCCAACAAGTCCTGGAGAAGGGGTGAGTTGAGCAGGCAAAGAGCAACCCACTGTCACCTTGGACCTCTGGAATCTTGGCACCATGACCCCAAAGGATATTGAATTGTCAGGGAGAGCTGCTTAGAGAGGGAGTAGGGTCAGAAATCAGCCACTGTGGAGCAGGGGGTTTGGTGCAGGAGCATCTGTAGAGGAGCATGGACAGGGATGCCCATCCCACAAGGCTCATTTTGATCCCCTAAAAGATTTTAGTGTTACTGGAACTATCAGACCTGAACAGTGTAGGGCAATCTCACCCATGAGATGGGGCTGGTCCAACCTGAGAGCACGTTTGTCTTCTGGCCTCTCCAAGGGCCCCAGTCTGTCTGCACCTGCTTGCAATGCAGGTTCGGATGTCCAGCTGTGCTGCCTCCTGTGGGCAACCACCGTAACTCCTGTGTGATGGAAGTGCCTGACCATTGGAGAGCTCCAGCAGAGCAGTCCCCTCCAACATGCACCAGGCTCTTTGCACCCACCACAGCATCCCCCATGCCACTTTGCCAGCATGCACTCGCCAAAGCAAAACCCCATATTACCTTACCTGTGTGTCTGTGCATGGGCTGACCTCACCTCCCTTTCCCCACCAGTGCATATGTACACCTGCACCCCACCATGCCACTGCTGTCAGTGTGAGTGTACCCCACCTGCTCTCACCACACCACCACTGACAAAGAAAAGGTCCACAAGGAGACCAGCATCCCTACCCGGCACCCAGCATCCGTGGATGCTGGCATGTTCTCGTGCATGAAGACTTCCATCCTCCACACCTGCCAGTATGCCCCCACCACCCCTCTGGCACTGACACTACCACTGGCATGAATCTATGCACAGAAACCAGTGGCCACACTCCTTACCTTGCATGGCCACTGCTGCCCCTGTGAATGTGAGCACAGAAGGTGCTAGCCCCATGCCCACCAGGACCTCTCTCCCATGCAGACAACACCGCCGGTGCGAATGTACACATAAAGTTGCTTGTGGGCCCTCCTGTGTCCCCACACCATGCTGCCACCATGACTGCAGTGACACCCACAAAGAGGCTGGCACCCCTGTCCCTGCCAGTGCCCTGCCACAACTAAGGATGGCGCACCCTGCCACACTGCCATTACTGATGGCAAAAGCAAACAGTCATGGACCCTGCTGCTACCACAAAACAAAGCACCTTCCTTGGCACCACCCATCAGAGTGTTGTGACCAGCAGTCCAGGAACATTTCCAGTACAGCAGGTTCCTAAACTTGAGGTGGCAGAGAACAAATCTGGGAACCCAATATCAGGCCCCCATAGTTAGAGAACACAGCCCAAGAGTCCTGAGTTGATCCTTGGCCCCCTAAAATCTTACAGAAATAAAGTTGGTTGACTGAACTCACCATATACTCTAATTGAACCCCTAAGGACATCAAAGAGGGGGGAAAAAAAAGAAAACCAATCCAAAGGACAGCAACTTTGGATTGAAGGAACATCAACCCACAAAGATAAGAAAGCACCAGCACAAGAACTCTGGCAACTCAAAAACCTGGAATGTCTTCTTACCTTCAAACAATCCCACTAGTTCCCTAGCAATAGTTATTAACCAGGCTGAAATGACAGAAATAGAATTCAGAATATAGATAGGAATAAAGATGGTCAACATTGAGGGGAAAGTCAAAACCCAATGAAGGGAATCTAAGGATTACAATAAAATGATGCAAGAGCTATACATGAAATTGCAATTATAAGAAAGAGCCAACCGGATCTGATAGAGCTAAAAAAGCACACTACGAGAATTTCACAATGCAATAACTAGTATGAATAGCAGAATTAACCAAGCCGAGGAAAGAATCTCAGAGCTCAAAACTGGCTCTCTGAAGTAAGTCAAACAGAGGAAGGAAGGATGGAAGGAAGGAAGGAAGGAAGGAAGGAAGGAAGGAAGGAAGGAAAGAAAGAGGGAGGGACGGAGGGAACAAACAAACCTGAGAAATATGGGATCATGTAAAGAGACCAAATCTATGACACATTGGCTTCCTTGAAAGAGAGGGAGAGAAATCAAGCAAATTGGAAAACATATTTCAGGATTTTGTCCATGAAAATTTCTCCTCACTCACTCCTCACTCACTAGAGAGGTCAACATTCTAATTCAGGAAGTGCAGACAACCTCTGAAATACTACACGAGAAGATAATTCCCAAGACACATAGTCATCAGATTCTCCCAGTTAAAGGCAGCTCAAGAGAAAGGGCAGGCCACCTACAAAGAGAACCCCATCAAGCTAACAGGAGACCCACCAGTGGAAACCCTACAAGCCAGAAGAGATTGGGGGCATATATTCAGCACTCTTAAAGAAAAGAACTTTCAACAAAAAAGTTTTACATCCAACCAAACTAAACTTCATAAGCAAAGGAGAAATAAGATACTTTTCAGACAAGCTAAGGCCAAAGGCATTCATTGCCACCAGACCTGTCTTACAAGAGGTCCTGAAGGGGGTGAAAAATATAGAAAGACTGTTACTGGCAACTACAAAAGCCCACTTACATACATAGAGCAGTGACACTGTAAAGCAATCACACAAACAAGTCTGCATAATAACTAGCTAACAATATGATGACAGGATCAAATCCATACATATTAACACTAACCTTGAATGCAAATAGGCCAAATTCCCCCAATTCCCCAATTAAAAGGCAAAGTGTGGCAGGTTGAATAAAGAAGCAAAACCCAACAGCATGCTGTCTTCAAGAGATCCATCTCACATGCAGTGACACCCATAGGCTCCAAGTAAAGGGACAGGGAAAAATCTACCAAGCAAAGAGAAAACAGAAAAAAAGCAGAAGTTGCTATTCTGTTTTCAGACAAAAGAGATTTTAAATCAACACAGATGAAAAAAGACAAAGAAGGGCATTGCATAAGAGTTAAAAGGCTCAATTCAACAAGAAGACCTAACTATTCTAAATATATCTGCACCCAACACAGGAAAACCCAGATTATAAAACAAGTTCTTAGAGACCTACAAAAAGACTTAGATAACCACACAATAATAGTAGGAGAATTCAACACCACACTGACAGTATTATATCATTGAGGCAGAAAACTAACAAAGATATTTGGGATTTTAACTCAATACTTGACCTAATGAACCTAACAGACATCTATAGAACACTCCACCCCAAAATAGAATATATATTCTTCTAATCTGCACATGGCACATACTCTAAAATTGACCACACATTCAGGCATAAAAAGTGCTCAGCAAATTAAAAAAAAAATGAAATCATACCAACCACACTCATGTACCACAGTGCAATAAAAATAGAAATCAATGCTAAGAAAATCACTCATAGCCAATTACATAGACATTAAACAACCTGCTCTTGAATGACTTCTGTGAAAATACTGAAATTAAGTCAGAAATCAAAGTTATTTGAAACTAATAAGAAAAAGATAAAATATACCAGAATTTCTGAGACACAGCCAAAGCAGTGTTAAGAGGGAAGTTTACGGCACTAAACACCCACATCCGAAAGAAAGATCTCAAATTAGCAACCTAACATTGCAACTAGAGAAACAAGGGGAAACCAACTCCAAAGCTAGCAGAAGACAAGAAGTAACCACATTTAGAGCAGAACAGAAGGAAATTGAGATGTGAAAACCCACACAAGAGATCAATGAATCCAAAAGCAAGTTCTTTGAAAAAATTAATAAGATAGAGAGACCACTAGGTAGACTAAAAGAATAAATGACAGAAGACCCAAAATAAACACAACAAGCAATGGCAAAAGGGATGTTACCACAGATCTCACAAAAACACAAAAAATAAACCTTCAGAGAGTACTATGAATACCTCTAGGCATACTGGCTAGAAAACCTAAAAGAAATGAATAAATTCCTGGAAAAATGCAACCTCCCAAGATTGCACAAGAAAGAGATTGAATCCCTGAATAGACCAATAAGAAGTTCCAAAATTAAATCAGTAATAAAAGCCCAGAAACCAGAAAAAGGCCAAGAACAGAGAGATTCACATACAAACTCTACCAAGTATATAACAAAGAGCTGGTACCATTCTTACTGAAACTATTCTAACAACTTGAGGAGGAAGGATTCCCAAACTCATTTTATGAAGCCAGCACCACCTTGATACCAAAATCTTCCAGAGACATAACAAAAACAAAAAATGCTTCAGGCCAATACCCTTGATGAACATGCATCCAAAAATCCTCAACAAAATGCTAGCAAACTGAATCTAGCAGCACATCAAAAAGCTTATCCAATATGATCAAATAGGCTTTATCCCTGGGGTTCAAGGTTCATTAAACTTTCACAAATCAATAAATGTGATTCACACATAAACAGAACTAAAACCAAAAACGATATAATCTCAATAGATGCAGAAAAGGCTTTGGGTAAAATTCAATATCCCTTCATGTTAAAAACCCTCAACAAACCAGGCATCAAAGAAACATACTTCAAAATAATAAGAGCTAGCTATTAAAAAAAAAAACTCATTGCCAACATCATACTAACTGGGTAAAATCTGGAAACATTCCCCCTGAAAACTGGAGCAAGATAAGGATGCCTCTACCTTACCACTTATATTCAACATAATATTGGAAGTCCTAGCTAGAGTAATCTGGCAAGAGAAAGAAATAAAAGGCATCCAGATAGAAAGAGAGGAAGTCCAGCTATCCCTATTTCCACATCATCCTGTACCTACACAACACCATAGTCTTGGCTCAAAAGCTCCTTGACCTGATAAACAACATCAGCAAAGATCAGGATACAAAGTCAATGTACAAAAATCAGTAGCTTCCATATACAAAGACAACATCCAAGCTGTGAGCCAAAACAGGAACATAATCCCATTCACAATAGCCACAAAAAAAGAGAATACTTAGGAATACAGCTAACCAAAGAGGAGAAAGACCTTTAAATGAGAATTACAAAATGCTGCTCAAAGAAACCAGAGATAACTCAAAACATTCCATGTCCATGAATAGGAAGAATTACTATTGTTAAAATGGCCACACCACTCAAAGCAATTTATAGATTCAATGTTATATCTATCAAACTACCAATGAAACTATTCACAGAGTTAGAAAAAAGCTACTTAAAATTCATAGAATGTAAAAAAAGAGCTCAAATGGCCAAGGCAATCCTAAGCAAAAAAAGAACAAACCTGGAGGCATCGTATTACCCAACTTCAAACTATACTACGCAGCTGCAGTAACCAAAACAGCATGATAATGGTACAAAAAGAGACAATTAGACTAATGGAACAGAAAACAGAGCTCAGAAATAATGGCACACTCCTAAAACCATCCCATCTTTGACACAATCAACAATAAAAAGCAACGAGGAAGGACACTCTATTCAATAAATGGTGCTGGGATAACTATCTATCCAGATCCACAATATTAAAACTGGATCCCTTTCTTATGCCATATACAAAAATCAGCTCAAGGTGGATTAAAAACTTAAACGTAAAACCTAAACCTATAAAAATCCTGAAAGATAACCACAGAAATAACATTCTGAAGATAGGACCTGTCAAAGATTTTGTGATGAAGTCTCCAAAAGCAAATGCAACAAAACCAAAAAAAGACAAGTGGAATCTAATTAAACTCATTCTGCACAGCAAAACAGTCAACAGAGTAAACAGACAACCTACAGGACTGGAGAAAATGTCTGCAAACTATTTATCTGATAAAAAGCTAATATTCAGCATCTATAAAGCAAATTAACAAGCAGAAAGCAAACACTCCCATTAAAAAGTGGACAAAGGACATGAACAGACACTTTTCAAAGAAAGACATACGTGTGGCCAATAAGCATATGAAAAAATGCTCAGCCTCACTAATCATCAGTTAAATGCAAATCAAAAACACAATAGCATACCATCTCAAACCAATAAAACTGGCTATTACTAAAATGTCAAAAAATAGCATATGTTGGTGAGGTTGTGGTGAAAAGAGAATGCTTGCACACTGCTGATGACAATGTAAATTAGTTCAGCCACTGTAGAAAGCAGTTTGGAGAACTCTCAAAAAATTTAGAACTACCATTCAACCCAGTAATCTCATTATTGGTTTATACCCCCCAAAATATAAATCATTCTATCATAAAGCCACATACATGCATATGTTCATCTTAGCACCATTTACAATAGCAAACACATGGAATCAACCTAAATGTCCATCAGTGGTAGACTGGATACATAAAATGTAGCACATCTATACAGTGTAATACTATGCAAGCAATAAAGATGAATGAGATCATATTCTTTGCAGCAACAAGTATGGAGCTGGAGGTCATTATCCTAAGAAAACCAACAGAGGAACAGAAAACCAAATCCATATACTCTCAGTTACAAATGGGAGCTAAACCTTGAGTACAGCTGAAGACAAAGAAGGGAACAACAGACCACGGGTCTACTTGAGGTTGGAGGGTAGGAGGAAGGTAAGGATCAAAAAACTACCTATTGGATACTATGCTCACTACCTGGGTAATCAAATAATCTGTATACCAATGCTCACTACACAAAATTTACCTATATAACAAACCTATACATGTACTCCTGAGCCTAAAATAAAAGTTTTAAAAATGCTATGTACTTGTGACAAGCATAATCAGGAAAGGATGATTTAAGAAAGAAATTAAATTGGCTAAACTATTGGTATACTTGAAGAAGGTGGAAAATCAAAATAAATTTGAATATATTATAAAAATATAACTTTAAATATGCACATTAAAATATAAGATCACAGAGTTCTACTACTGGGAAAATAAACATAATTTTCTCTATACAATTTTCTCCCAATGTGCAACTAAAAACCCAGAAAATTATGTATAATACAAACATAAGACTCTGAGGGGTGAAAAGAAGGCAGATCAGTTAAGGGAGCTCAGAATCTGAGGAACTATATGACAGTGAATTTCTCGAGGTTTTTTCAGCCTCATGTATTTCAGATTTTCCTGCTGGAGCAAACCAAAAATTATCACAGAAGGTTTTTAATTTTTTTTACCCACAAGAGTAAAAATGCCCCCTAAAATATCTGGTCTTTTTCTAGTCAAAGAATCAGAAAAGAAATAAAACAGCGTGTTCTTCTTACTTTTCAACTATTATTGCACATATTTCTCTGTTACACTGGCAGGGCCTTCTAGTAAAACATTAATAAATACTGTGATGTGTTGATAGTAAAATTAAGTTTACATGTTAATTATGATGTTTGCTAGAGGATTTTGATAGGCTTCCTTCATTACATTAATAACATTGAATTATATTCCTACTAGGATAAAAAGATTATGAATTATAATAATGTACGTAAAAATGCTTACATATATAAATTATCTGCATTTCTTAAGATAACAATATGGCTTTTATCTCATGTGAATTTTATTAACAATTTTCAAATATTAAACTCTCTGGTATTCTCATTATAATACTTTTTGGTTACGATTTATTATTTTTAAACACGTGCTTAATTTCCTAATAATGTACTTATTCTGCATGTGTTTCCATAGGCATAATTACCTTACAGTTATCTTGTTTAAACTAATCCCATTTATTTTTTATTGAAAGAATATTTGTGTATGTTGAAATGCATAAATTTTAATAGTTACACCTCAATATGTTCAGAAAATTTTAAGTAAACGTGTAACCAATACCACAAACAAGGTATAGAACCTTCCTTTCCATTACCTCAGAAAGTTACCTTGTTTCACTTTTCAATCAATGCCTTCTTCTGAGAGGCACTACAGTTCTGATTCTTTCCTAATAGATTAGTGATATATTTCAGAATTTCATATAAGTAGAATCAGTTAGTAAACCATTATTGATATTTATCCATATTATTTCTTAGAACAATTGTTTATCAATTAGTGTTCCATTTTATGCATAAACCAGAGCTCATTTATCCAGTCTTGTAGTTGAACTTTTCAGTTTCTAGTTCAGGGTTATTAAGAATAATCACATTCTCCAAGGTTGAAATTTAAAAAAATATATTAAGAGCAGCCAGGAAGAAAGGTCATGACAGCTACAAAAGGAGGCCCATCAGACTAACAGTGGACCTCTCAGCAGAAACCCTACATGTGAGAAGAGATTGGGGGCCAATATTCAACATTCTTAAGGAAAATAAATTCCACAACAGAATTTCATATCTGGCCACCTAAGCTTCCTAAGCAAAGGAGAAATATGATCCTTCTCAGATAAGCAAATGCTGAAGAATTTGTTACCACCAGACCTACCTTATGACAGCTCCTGAAAGAGGCACTAAGTATGAAAAGGAAAGACTGTTATGAACCACTGCAAAAACACACTGAAGTACACAGACCAGTATCACTATAAAGCAACCACATAAACAAGTCTGCAAAAGAACCAGCTAATATTATGATGACAGGATCAAATCCACACATATCAATACTAACCTTGAATACAAATGGATTAAATGCCCCAATTAAAAAACACGGACTGGTAAGCTGGATAAAGAACCAAGACCCATTGGTATACTGTCTTCAAGATGTCCATCTCACATGTAATGGCACACATAGGCTCAAAATAAAGGAATGGAGGAACATTTACCAAGCAAATGGAAAACAGAAAAAAGCAGGGGTTGTAGTCCAAGTTTCTGACAAAAAACAGACTTCAAACCAACAAAGATCAATGAAGGCAAAGAACGGCATTATATTGGGGAATCTGCCCCGATATTCATGTGGGTTCTTTTCTATTTTCCTTAAGCGTCGGCCAACTTGAGAAATAAAGGGACAGAGTACAAAAGAGGGAAATTTTAAAGCTGGGCGTCTGGGGGAGACATCACATGTCGGTAGGTTCCGTGATGCCCCACAAGCTGCAAAAAACAGCAAGTTTTCATTAGGGAGTTTCAAAAGGGGAGGGAGTGTGTGAATAGGTGTGGGTCACAGACATCAAGTACTTCAAGTACTTTACAAGGTAATAGAATATCACAAGGCAAGTGGAGGCAGAGCGAGATCACAGGACCACAGGACCAGGGTGAAATTAAAATTGCTAAAGAAGCTTCCGGCACCATTGTCATTGATAACATCTTATCAGGAGACAGGGTTTGAGATAAACCGGCCTGACCAAAATTTATTAGGCGGGAATTTCCTCTTCCTAATAATCGGGGAAGTGATAAGTGTCCATGAAATCTTTACAATTTATGTTTAGAGATTGCAGTAAAGACAGGCATAAGAAATTATAAAAGTATTAATTTGGGGAACTAATAAATGTCCATGAAATCTTCACAATCCTTGTTCTTCTGCCATGGCTTCAGCCAGTCCCTCCGTTTGGGGTCCCTGACTTCCCACAACAGCATTACATAATGGTAAAGGGTTCAATTCAACAAGATCTAACTATCCTAAATATATATGTACCCAACACAGGAGCTCATAACTCGGATTCATAAAGCAAGTTCTTAGAGATGTTCAAAGATGCCTAAATACCCACACAATAATACGGGGAGACTTTTAACACCTGAATGACAATATTAGAGAGATAATCTAGATAGAAAATTCACAAAGATATTCAGGACCTGAACTTAGCACTGGATGAAGTGGCCCTGATAGATATCTACAGAATTCTCCACATAAAAACAACAGAACATACATTGTTCTCTTTGCCACATGGTACATACTCTAAAATCGATCACATAATCGGAAGTAAAACACTCCACAGCAAATGCAAAAACTGACATCTTAACAAACACTCTCTTAGATCATAGTGCAATCAAATTAGAAATCAAGCTTAAGAAATTCACTCAAAACCATACAATTACATGGAAATTGAATAATTTGCCCTGAATGACTTTTTGGTAAATAATGAAGTTAAGGCAGATATCAAGAAATTCTTTGAAACTCATGAGAACAAAGATATAACATACCAGAATCTCTGGGACACAGCTAAGGCAGTGTTAAGAGGGAAATATATAGCACTAAATGCCCAAATCAAAAAATAGAAGTACCTCGTGTTAACAACTTAAAATCACAACTAAAAAATTAGAGAAGCAAGAGCAAACAAATCCCAAAGCTAGCAGAGGATAAGAAGTAACCAAAATTAGAGCTGAGCTAAAGGAGATTGAGACATGAAAAACCATTCAAAAGATCAACAAATCCAAGAGCTGTTTTTTTTTTTTTGAAAAAATTAATAAAATAGACCACTAGCTAGACAAATAAAGAAGAAAAGAGAGAAAATCCAAATAAACACAATCAGGAATGATAAGGGGGATATTATCACTGACCTCAGAAATACAAACAACCATCAGAGAATATTATGAACACTTCTATGCACATAAACTAGAAAATTTAGAAGAAATGGATAAATTCCTGGACACATGCACCCTCTCAAGACTGAACCAGGAAGAAATTGTTTCCCTGAAATAACAAGCTCTGAAATTGAGTCAGTAATAAATAGCCTACCAACCAAAAAAAGCCCAGGAACAGATGGATTCATGGCTGAATTCTACCAGATGTTAAAAGAAGAGCTGGTACCATTCCTGCAGAAACTATTCCAAAAAACTGAAGAGGAGGGCCTCCTCCCTAACTCATTATATGAGGCCAGCATCATCCAGATTCCAAAACCTGGCAGAAACACAACAACAATAAAAATCTTCAAGTCAATATCCTTGATGAACATTGATGTTAAAATACTCAACAAAATACTGGCAAACCAAATCCAACAGTACATCAAAAAGCTTAACCACCACAATCAAGTAGGCTATAAAGTTCCTATACAAGTCTTTATAACAACATATGTTTTCATTTTACTTTAATAAGTACCTAGGAATGCATTTGTTGGATCATATATGGTGGAATTATTTACATTGCAGAAAACAATTTTTCATATGTATATGATCTTTTCATTCATTGTAAACATGCATAATTATTAATATTATCAACATGCATAAAATATTTTCTTCCAATTCTGTGACTTCCCATTTCCTTATTTGCTTATTTAATGGGTCTTTTGATAAATAAAACATATTTTTAAAGGATATTTTCACTGAATATACAGTTTTCAGTTAATTCTATTTGGCCTCCTCCTTTTAGCATTTTAAAACATATTGCATTTTATAGTGGCTTCTATTGTTTCTACTGAGAAAATACTCATTATCATCATTATTGTTCCCCTTTGTTATTTTTAAAAAATTTCTCTGAATGCATTTATCTTTAATTTTCAGCTAGGTGGTATGATGTGCTTGGGTGTTTTTTATTTTGTATTTTATTACACAGTAGATATATTGAGCTTCTTAGATATTGTGATAATGTTTTTCCTCGAATTTAAAACATATATAGCTATTATTATCCAACAGTTTTTTGACCCCATCTTCTCTATTCTTTCCTCTTGGAACTCAATTACATTTTGTTAAATGGTACTAACTTTTTTCGTGTTAAATATGTTGTTAAAGACAATTTTTTAATTTCTAAATTTCTACTTATTTCTTACTTAAAATTTCTATTCTTCTCCTGAAACTCCCTTATCTTCACCAATTATTCTCCCTTTCCTCTAAATTATTTTACATATTTATAATAGATGCATTATAATCCTTGTCTGTAAATCCTGATAACCTCATAATAATTAAGGTTCATCTATGAGTCTGTTTCTATTGTCAGTGCTTTCTGTTAATAAAAGTTTTAATTTTCATGCTTCTTAGCATATTTTAATAATTTTTATTTTGGGTGTTAGTTATAAAATATAAGGAATTATACTTATTTTTGGTTTGTTCTATTATTTCTCCAAGATTGAAAAACCTTTACTCTCTACAGTAATTAGACAGAAGGACCAATTCAGCCTTTTTATTGTATTAAACAGGCGAACTAATTTAGATTCCTACCAACAGTGTAAAAGCATTTCTATTTCTCCATAACCTTACCAGCATCTGTTGTTTTTTGACTTTTTAATAATCGCCATTCTGACTTGCATGAGATGGTATCTCATTGTGGTTTTGATTTGCATTTCTCTAATGATCAATGACGTTGAGCTGTTTTTCATGTTTCTTGGCCTCATGTATGTCTTCTTTTGAGAACTGTCTGTTCATGTCCTTTGCCCAATTTTTAATGATTTTTTTTTTCTTGTAAATTTGTTTAAGTTCCTTGTAGATTCTGGATATTATACCTTTGTCAGATAAATAGATTGCAAAAATTTTATCCCATTCTGTAGGTAGTCTGTTCACTCTGATGATAGTTTATTTTGCTGTGCAGCAGCTCTTTAGTTTAATTGTGGAAGACAGTGTGGTGATTCCTTGAAGACCTAGAACCAGGTCTTTCAATTTGACCCAGCAATCTCATTACTGGGTGTATATATCCAAAGAAATATAAACCATTCCACTGTAAAGATAGATGCACATGTATGTTCATTGCAGCCCTATTCATAATAGCAAAGACGTGGAATCAACACAAATGCCCACTGGCTAAAGAAAATGTTGTACATATACACCGTGGAATACTATGCAGCCCTAAAAAAGAATGAGGTGATTTACTTTGCAGGAACATAGATGGAGCTGGAAGCCATTATCCTTAGAAAACTAACGCAGGAACAGAAAACCAAATACTGCATGTTCTCACTTATAATTAGGAGGTGAACAATGAGAACACATGGACACAGGGAGAGGAACAACACACACTGGGGCCTGTTGGTGGGAGAAGAAGGAGAAAGAGCATCAGGATAAGTAGCTAATATGTGTGAGGCTTAGTACCTAGGTTGTGGATTGATAGGTGTAGCAAACCAACATGGCACACATTTACCTATAACAAACTGCACCTCCTGTACACGTATCCTGGAACTTAAAATAAAATAAAGTAAAATTTAAAAGAAGAAAGAAGAGCAGGTGCTCTAGAGCTACAAATACATTGAGTTTACATGTGATTAGACTAGCTTCCAAATTCCTGTGCCCTCAATAGCTTCATGACTTCGTCAGTATTTAAGCTGAGAAATCAGTGAGCTGCAACATTCTAATATTTTCGGTGGATACATGGATTCAACTCTAGCAAGATCTTACATTGCCTTGCAATTTCTCTCTGCTTTACTGTCCCTTGTATGAGTGGATTGTTTTTACATTTGGCACTCTTTCATTTCCTGCCAAACCATAATTCCATTACAGTCTTCGTTGGTTTCTCCCTTTACCTGAGCATCTTCACTATCTTAGTAAGGGTGCTCTTCTATTTGATATATAACAAGCCAGACACACTTCTTCAGAAATGGAAGCTGCCACCAGATATAAATTTCTTATTTCTCCCTGAAATTAATTTAACCAAAGCTTTTTTGTATCCACTCTTCCTTTTTAGGCAATACAACATTTTTATTTATATTTTTGCCTGGTATATTCTTGTGATCAGCATAGATGTAAAGATTTTCTTCATTCTTCTACATCCTATCTACATGTGAAGTTCCTAACATCTAATTTTAAAGCATTTTACCTAGGATGATATTGAGAAAGTTAGTTATAAAATGACAGTTTTAGGACATGTTACCCCCAAATAAGGCACCTTGAAAGTCATTGTCTGACCTTCTCCCATCTTTCTCTGTGAGAGCCATCCATAAAAGGATTCTCTGGTCTACTTCACCTGACAGTAGGTCATAAGACTGTCATGTAACAGTCATTCTGCCCCATACATGGGGAGAAGAAATGTCATACAGATACACAGAAGAATCTGAACCAACAGGCCTTGCTGAGTTCTTCTCCCATGCCCCAGTTTATTACCATTAGATTATACTCCTTTTTGTCCAATCATCTTTCTTCGCAACTATCCACTTCTTTCATCAGATTTAGCACAAAAACGCACAGATTTCCCTGGGTCGTTTGTACCTTCATTTCTAAAATCTCCTATATAACATAAAACTTTAGATAAATAAACTCATTATGCTTTTCCCTTATTAATGTCTTTTGGTACAGGGATGTCAGCCATGAACCCTTCAAGAGGTGAGAGAAAGATATTACTTTTTATCCCCTATAAAAACAAATGATTTATTTAGTTTATATTCTAGTTGAGTGTGTACAGCTGCTGTCTCCTGGCTTCCTTGACCTATTGCTTGCTATAAGCATTAGACTCAAACCATGATTTTTTTTAAAGATGAATCTGATTATCGTTGACTCATTTCTTCCTTCTTAGTAGCTTAAAAAGGCAGGGTGGGAGGGTATGTTTGAGTAATCTCGTTTTAAATCAGACTGATGAAATTATCTGCTCTGTAAAGCTCGTTTCCTAACAAGGTCATTATTGTAACAAGGAAGCTCTATCTACCTTCCCTGAAGTTTGTTAAGAATTATAGGTAAAGGATTCCTTTTCCATGAAACATAGTTTATACTGCATACAATCTATGCCCAGACTTAGCATGCACCTCTGTGTGATAAATTAGTTCCTCCTTTATCTTGTGCACCATGAGCTGCCTCCACTTTCAAGTTTTATTTGATAGACACTATTTCATATTGAAAAATATGTCTCCAGTATTGTGGTCATGCCTCCTTTTCAAACTATATATATATATATATATATATATATATATATATATATTTTATATTCATAAAGGAACAGGGGTTCACTCCAGTTCTAGACTTCAAGCAGTAGCCTTGACTTTAGTCCACTATCTTACATTAATTACTTGAAGCCTCCAATACCCTTCAGAATTCAAAATCTTGATTACCATTTTTTGCTTTTAAACTATGATCGTTTGCTCTTTCCTTTCTGCCACCACACCACCAGAATGCTTAATGTTTTCAAATACAGTGAGGTGTAAAAGCATGACATCTAGACATAGGCTAACTAAATTTGATAACTACTCTTGGCCTCAGTATCTTAAACTATAATACATAGAGTAACAATAAATATTAATAGTACCTACCTTAGGCGGGGTACGGTGGCTCATGCCTATAATCCAAGCACTTTGGGAGGCTGAGGTGGGTGCATCACAAGGTCAAGAGATTGAGACCATCCTGGCCAACATGGTGAAACCCCACTCTACTAAAAATACAAAAATTAGCTGGGCGTGGTGGCATGCATCTGTAGTCCCAGCTACTCAGGAGGCCAAGGCAGGAGAATCGCTTGAACCTGGGAAGCGGAGGTTGCAGTGAGCAGAGATCGCGCCACTGCACTCCAGCCTGGCAACAGAGTGAGACTCTGTCTCAAAATCATAATAATAATAATACCTACCTTACAGATATATAATAAAAATTAAGTAAAACTTATATTTCTGGGAAATATGTTAGAAATATCTGAATATTTCTAATTCCTAACATATTCAAATAATTATAAAAATAAATTTTTCTATTATATTTCATTCACTATCATTAAGGGTTTGGAGTAGAAAGGGCATAACAGAGAATACATCTTTTTGTTCCATGTATCTTTCCCTGAATCTTCCTCTAGTCTTTCTTGTACTGTTAAATTGGTTGCATGCAGAACACAAAATCATGTGCATGTATAATTGTATTATTAAGTTCTAAAAATCTTCATAAAATTTGGTTAAGAAATTTTACCATTTCATTGGTGGGCTAGATATCTTGGGAGGCATACTTTTATATTATACAAAATATATATTTTAGTACATACCTGTACTTAATAGAAAGCAATGAAATTAAAACAACAACAACAAAAGACAGGAAAGGAAAGAAGACACTGAATTCAGGAGGTGGCATCAGTACAAGTAGCAAGAAGCAGTGCAAAGAAAGCAAGATCAGAAATAAAAGGCAAGGTTAACCTGGTGGGGAAAGCCTACATCACTGAAATATTAAAGAGACTAAGCCTTTGCTCAAAGGAATATAGGGAAGGGATGATTCAAAGAAGCTAAAATGGCTCTCAACAGAGCAGATGAAAGTCCTCTCTTTATGAAAGCATTCTTAATTCAAGCCCTCAGAATTTTCAACTCAAATATCAAACTCAATAAAATGAGTTCATACAAAAATTAGAAAACACAAGAATCAATATTCTATGAATGAGTGACCAGAAACCACAAAAAGAGATGAAAACATTCAAAGATTTCAGATATGGCATGACCAAAAATAATACATAATGTTAAATAAATCATGTGCATACATGTATGTATATGTTTCTGTGTGTTTATAATTCCAAATTTAAAAACTTATATTTTAAACAGTAAGTTAAACACAGCTGCAGTATCTACTCAGAATAGAGGAGATAGAGACAGGGACTTAAAATATGAAATAAAAGTTAAGTGACCAAGTGACTACAAAGATAGAAGAAAAAAAATCACTTTGAAAATTATTAGAGTCCAGAAAAAGAAAATAGACACTGTGAAAAGGAGGCAACAATTGAAATAATATAAAAATGTTCCAGTATTAATCAAAAACATAAATTGATAATTCCAGATATTATCAGTAATATTAACTATATATAATGGCTAAAAATTCAGAAGCCAAATAAGATATTTATGACATTCAATAATCAAAGATCACCTATCAGAGATAATTAGGTTGATAATACAATGCTTAGTATGATATTGAAAATTAGAAGATGGTGCTGAGAAATTCCAATTCATCTAAAATTGTGGAATGACCAAAACTATCTTCAGGACAGAAGGTAAAACAAATGATAGCCTCAGGCATACAAAAACAGATTTGTTTCATACATTTGTAATAAATTTAGATTCATTTGTCACATTTTGTCTTCCATCCTGAAATTCCATTTTTTTTTTTTTTTTTTTTTTTTTTTTTGAGACAGAGTCTGGCTCTGTCACCCAAGCTGGAGTGCAGTGGCACGATCTCAGCTCACTGCAACCTCCACCTCCCAGATTCAACCAATCCTCCCACCTCAGCCTCCCAAGTAGCTGGAATTACAAGCATGCGCCACTATGCCCAGCTAATTTTTGCATTTTTTAGTAGAGATGGTGTTTCACCATGTTGGCCAGGCTGGTCTTGAACTCCTGACCTCAAGTGATCCACCCATCTCAGCCTCCTAAAGTGCTGGGATTACAGGCGTGAGCCACTGTGCCCAGCCTATAAATATTTTTAATTGCATAAATTAAGATGTATTCTTTTTGTTGTACAGGCTTACAGGTTTTGACAAACGCTTAGTGCCTTGTACTCACCATTACAGTATTATAGAGAATAATTTTACTACACTAAAAATCTTTGTGCTTAGCCTATGCAGTATGCCCCAACACAAGCCCCGTTAACCGCTGATTTGTTGGCCATCTTTAGAATTTGCCTTTTCCAAAACATCATATAATTGGACTTGTAAAGTATGTCGCTTTGTCAGACTGGCCTTTTTCACATAGCATTATGCATTTAAGATTAGTCATCATTTCGTCTTGGCTTGATAACTCATTGTTTTTCTACTTCATCAAGAATAAGTTTTTATTGATAAATAATATTTCATTTTATATGTGCCACAGTTGGTTTATCCATTATCCATTATCAAATACATTAAAGGAAATCTTGGTTGCTTCAAATATTTAGCAATTATGAATAAAGCTGCTATGGACATTCATGTACGTTATGGGTAATATGTTTTTTTTCTTTTTTAACCAGTTGGGTAAATACCTATGAGCATGATGACTGGAATGTATGAAAAGACTATGTTATTTTTTTTTAAAGACTGCCAAACTGTCTTTCAAAGAAACCATGTCATTTTGCATTCCCACCAGCAGTGAATGAGAATTTCTGTTGCTCTGCATTCTCACCAGCAGTTGATACTGTCAATTTATTCTGGAGTTTAACCATTCTAAATGGTGTGTAGAGATATCTTACTGTTCTATTAATTTGCAATTCCCTAATGACAAACCATGTTGAAAATCTTTTCATATGCTTATTTGCTATCTGTATATTTTCTATGATGAGGTGTCTTTTCATTTTTTGTGACAATTTTCAACTGGGTTGTTTATTTATTGTTGAGTATTAAGGGTATTTTGTCTATTTTTGATACAAGTACTTCCTCAGATATGTGTTTTGCAAATATGTTCTACCAACCTGCGCCTTGTCTTTTCATTCTCTTAATGTGTTTCCCAGAGGAGAAATTTTATGTTTAATAATGTCAAACATTATTTCTGTTTTACTTTTAGGGATTGTACTGTCAGTGTTGTACTTAAAAATTCATCACCACAGCCAAGTTCACATAGATTTTCTCCTATGCTTTTTTCAAAAAGTTATAGTTTTGTATCTTACATTTTGGCCTAAGATCCATTTCGGTTAATATTTCTGTAAGGGGTAAGGTCTCTGTCTATCTTCACTATTTTGCATATTGATGTTCCATTATTTCAGCACCATTTCTTGAAATGATTAGCCTTTCTCCATTTAATTTTTATTGCCCTGTTGTCAAATACTATTTGATTGTATATGTGAATCTATTTTTGAGTTCTCTAATACAGTCTATCAATAACTCCAGCCGTCTCCTCATGCCTTCTCTCTGTACGTTCACCAATACCATACTCTCTTAATTATTGCAGACATATAATATTTCTTAAAATTGAGTAGCATCTGCTCTCCACCTTTATTTTTCATCTTCAATACTGTGTTGGCTATTCTAGGTTCTTTGCTTTTTCATATAGATTTTAGAGTCATTTTCTTAGTGCTGACATTTTGACTGAGATTGCACTGAATCTACACATCAAGCTGGGAAGAATTGACATCTTAACTGTAATGAATCTACCAGTACAGAAACACAGAATATCTCCTCATTTATTTGGAGTTTCATTGTTTTTTATATTGGTATTTTGTAGTTTTCCACATATAGATCCTAATGGTATTACGTTGTTAATTTCAAATTCTAAGTGTTTATTGCTGATATATAGGAACAAAATTTGATTTTTCAAATTAACTTTGTATCCTGTAATGTTGCAATAATTACTTGTTATTTTCAGGTGGTCTTTTTCCATTGATTCTTTGGGATTTTCTACATAGACAATCATATCATCTTTGATTGTCGTCTCTGAACAAAGACAGCTTTATTTTTTCCTTTTCTCTTATACCTTTTGATTATTTTACTTGACTTCTCACACTAGCTAGGACTTCGAATACAATGCTGAATAAGAGTGGTGAAAAAAGACATTCTTGCCTTGTTCTCCATTTTAGGGGAAAGTATCCACTTTTTCAACATTATGGACAATGTTAGTTATAGATTTTTCCACAGATATTACCTATCAAGTGCAGGATGTTTTCCTGTATTCTTAGTTTGCTGAGAGTTTTTGTCATGAATGAGTGTTGAACTTTTTTATATGTTCTTTCTGAATCAATTGATATGATCTTATCGTTTTTCTTCTCTAGTTTGTTCATGTTGTAGGGTGCACTGATTAATTTTTTAATTGTGGAACCACACCTGAAATAAATTTCATTCACTCACTGTTAGTTTCAATTTGCTAATACTTTGCCAAATACTTTTTGTGTCTATGAGAGATACTGGTCTGTCATTTTTGTTTTTGTTTTTTTCTTGTAATGTCTTTCCTTTATAGTCTTGGGTATGTCTTTATTAGCAGCATGAGAATGAACTAATATAGTTAATATGGCTAGTATGGCATATATTTTTCCATACCTTTACTCCTTCTCTTTTTTTTTTTTTTTTTTTTTTTGAGACAGAGTCTCGCTCTATTGACCACGCTGGAGTGCAGTGCCGCAATCTCAGCTCATGGCAACCTCCGCCTCCTGTGTTCAAGTGCCTCAGTCTCCTGAGTAGCTGGGATTACAGCCGCACACCACCATGGCTGGCTAATTTTTGTGTTTGTATTAGAGGTAGGTTTCTCCGTGTTGGCCAGACTGGTATCGACCTCCTGGCCTCAAGTGATCTGCTAGCCTCAGCCTCCCAAAATGCTGGGATTACAGGTGTGAGCCACCATGCCCAGCCCTATACCTTTACTTCTAACCTAAAGTAACTTCACTTTTAAAGTGAGGTTCTTATAAACAACATATAGTTGCGCATTGTTTTTATTATCCACTCTGACCATCTTCATTTGTGAATGGCGTTTTTGATTTTTAGCATTTTCTATTGATTCTTACACATTACCCATATGTTTATGAATGTTGTCCACTTTTTTGTTGTCCCTTAACATTATAAATAGTTATTTTCAATTCCCTTAATGACAATTTTAACATCTGTGTTATATCTGTCTTTTTTATTTTTAAAACGTTCTTAAAATTGTATATATTTGTGTTGTATACAAAGATATTTAATGTATGTATTACCTCACATACTTCTACCTTTCTTGTGGTAAGAATAATTAAAAATCTACTTTCTTACTCACTTTTAAGTATGTAATGTATTGCTTCTAACTTTAGCCACCATGATGTACAATAGATGTGTTGAATTTATTAGTTCTATTTAGCTGGAATTTTGTGACTTTTGAATATCTTCCCAGTCACCACACCTCCCAGTTTCTTGTGCCCACCATTACACTCTTTGTTTCTATGAGTTTGATTTTTATAGATTCTACATATAAGTGAGAAATTGTGGTATTTCTCTTTCTGTTCCTGGCTTGTTTCACTTAAAATAATTTCCACCAAGTTCATCCATGTCATCACAAATGATAGTATTTTCTTTTAAATTACTACTCACTACTAGCATTCCTTCATGAATACATATCACATTTTCTTCATCTCATCATTTGTTGAGAGGCATTGAAGTTCATTTTATATCTTGGCTATTGTTGCAATGAACATTGGAGTGCAAATATCTATTTGACATATCATCATACTGTGGATATAAACCCAGGAGTAGGATTCCTAGACTATATGGTAGTTCTATTTTTTAATTTGGGGGGAATCTCAATACCATTTTCCATAATGATTATGCTAATTTACATTCCCAAGAACAGCGTACAGGGGTTCTCTTTTCTCTATATCCTTTTTAATACTTACCTTTTGTCTTTTTGATAATAGCCATCCTAACAGGTGTGAGGTAATATCTCATTGTGATTTTAATTTGCATTTCTCAAATACTTAGTCATGTCAAATAATTTTCATATACCTGTTGGCTATTAGTATATCTTCTTTTAAGAAATGTCTATTTAGGTCCTTTGTCCTTTTTAAAAATTGGATTATTTGTTTTCTTACTAGTAAGTTGATTAAGTTACTTATATATTTTGAATATTAACCACTTGTCAGATTGTGGTTTGCAAATAAATTATCTCATTTTGTAGGTTGTCCCTTCACTCTGTTGATTGTTTCCTTTACCGTGCAGAAGTTTTTGATGTAACACCATTTGTCTATTTTTGCTTTGGATGCCTGTGCATTCAGAGTCACATCTAAAAATCATGCTTAGACCAATGTCATGGAGCTTTTCCCCTATGTTCTTTTCTAGTAATTCTACAGTTTTAGGCCTTTCATTTAAGTCTTTAATCCATTTTGAGTTGATTTTTGTATATGACAAAAGATATGGGTTCAATGCCATTGTCCTGCATGGAGATATCCAGTTTTCACAACATCACTTAATTGAGAGGCTGCTTTTTCCTCACTGTATGTTCTTTGTGCCTTTGCTGAAAATCAGTTGCCCTATAAATCCATGTATTTACTTCTGAGCTCTCTATTCTGATCCATTGATTGATGTGTCTGTTCTTATGCCAGTATCATGCAAGTTTGGTCATTAGAGCTTTGTAGTAGATTTTGAAATTGGGTAATGTCATGCCTCTGGTTTTGCTTTTTTTTTTTTTTTTTTGGCTCAATATTGCTTTAGCTATTTGGATGTCGTGGTGTGTATGTGGTGCCATATGAATTTTAGAATTGTTTTATTCTACTTTTATGAAAAATATCCCTGGTAATTCATTAGGGATTGCACTGAATCTGTAGACAGCTTTGTTGAGTGTGGGCATTTTAGCAATATGAATTTAATGCCTGAACTTAACATATATTCCCATTTATTTGTATCTTCTTCAGTTACTTTCATCATTGTTTTGTAGTGTTTAATGTGCAGAGCTTTCACCTCCTTGGTTAAATTTATTTCCAAATATTTTATTGTTTCATAGCTATTATAAATGCAATTGCATTCTTGAATTCATTTTTGGATAGTTAATACTTTATAGAAATGCTATTAATTTGTATATGTTGATTTTATATCCTGACACCTTACTGAATTTATTAGTTCTAATATTTTTGGTGGAGTCTTTAGGGTTTTTGTTATATAGGATATCATCTGCCCAGGTGCAGTGGCTCACACCTATAACCCCAACACTTTGGGAGGCCAAGGCAGGTAGATCACCTGAGGTCAGGAGTCCAAGACCAGCCTGGAAAACATGGGGAAACCCCTTGTATACTAAAAATACAAAAATTAGAGCGTGGTGGAGCATGCCTGTAATTCCAGCTACTTGGGGAGGCTGAGGCAGGAGAATCACTTGAACTCGGGAGGCAAAAGTTGCAGCGAGCTAAGATTGCACCACTGCACTCCAGCCTGGGTGACAGAGCTAGACTTTGTCTAAAAAAAAAAAAAAAAAAAAAAAAATCATTTGAAGAGACAAGTTAACTTCTTCCTTTCTGATTTTGATGTCTATTTTTCTCTTTTTATTGTCTAATTGCTTTAACTCAGGCATCTAATATTATGTTAAATGAAAACTGCTGGAGTGGGCATTATCTTGTTTTTGACATTAGGGGAAAAGTTTTTAACTTTTAACTGTTATGTATCATATAAGGTAAGAACTTGTCATGTATGGCATTTCTGTACTGAGATACCTTCCTTCCATACCTAATTGGTTGATAGTTTTTATCATGAAAGGATGTTGAATTTTGTCAAATGCCTTTTCTGCATCTATTAGGTGATCATGTGGGTCTTTTGTTTTACATTCTGTTAATATGGCATATCACATTTATGTATTTGCTTATGTTGAATCATTTTTGCATCCCAGGGATAAATCCCACTTGATCACAGTGAATAAGTCTTAAGTTTTTCTTTGATGGGAGACTTCTAATTATTTATTAAATCTCCCTACTTATTATTGATCTATTCTGATTTTCCATTTCTTCATTATTCAGTGTTGATAGGTTGTATGTGTCTGGGTATTTATTCATTTCTTTTAGATTATCCAATCTGTTAGTGTACAAGTGCTCCTAGCACCCTCTTATGATTATTTATATTTCTGTCGTATCAGTTGTAATGTCTCCTTTTTCATTTATAATTTTATGTATTTGAGTCTTCTCTCATTTTTTTTAAAGTTAGTCTTGCTAAAGGTTGACCAATTTTGTTTATTTTTTTTATGGTCTCGATCTCCTGACCTCGTAATCTGCCCGCCTGGGCCTCCCAAAGTGCTGGGATTACAGGCAGGAGCCACCGTGCCCGGCCAGGGAGTTAGTGTTTAATGGGTATAGTTTCAAGTGTATGGATACATGGGTAATTGAGGTACTAGTTTTAGACTGTAGTTGAGTTTCCTACATCTGGGGAAATCACAGGGGTCAGCATATCCGGAGTACAATGGATAAGCTTCACCCTGGGAAAACCACCTTCATGATCATGGTATCTCCCCTGCCAGGTACATATGTGTTTGGTTATTTCTTTGATATATTTCTTCTGTTTTCATGCAGGTGTTTATATGTTTCATGTAGGTCTAACTTCACTCTTAGAACCACTTTTGCTGCATCCCTTAAGTTTTCATATGTTGTTTTTCTATTTTTGCTTGTCTCAAGATGTTTATAATTTCTCTTTTAATTTTTTTGACCCATTTGTTGTTCAGAACCATGTTGTTTAATTTTCACATATTGTGAATTTCCCAGAATTTCTCCTTTTATACCATTTTATTCATATCACTGTGGTCAGAAAAAAATTCTTCATGTTATTTCAATTCTCTTCAATTTGTTAAGACTTGTTCTGTGCCTGTGCCTAACATGTGATATGATTCTAAACCAGAATGTGTATTCTGTTCCTATTGGATGGACTGCTTTGTATATGTTTCTTTGGTCCATTTGGTCTAAAGTATAGTTTATAGTTCAAGTTCAATGTTTTGCTATTGATTTTCTGTCTGGATTATCTGTTCATTGTTGAAAGTGGGATGTTGATGTCCCCTACTATTATTATATTGCAATCTATCTCTTTCTTCAGATTTATTAATATTTGCTTTATATGTTTAGGTGTTTTGATTGGTGGTGCATATATGTTTATAATTGCTACATCTTCTTGATAAATTGATCCCTTTATCATTATATAATGATCCTTTTTGTCTTGTTTTACAGATTTTTACTTAAATAAAAGTTAGCTACCCTTGCTGTCTTTTGGCTTTCATTTGAATGGAATATATTTTTTCATTCTTTCACTTTACTGTATTTGTGTCCTTAAAAAGTAAAATGATTCTCTTATATGCACCACATAATTGATTTTTTAAAAATATCTATTTAGCCACTGTATGTTTCGTGGTTGCAGAATTTAATCTGTTTATCTTCTAGGTAATATATTGATAGGTAAGGGCTCACTAATGCCATTTTGCTCATTGTATTCTGGTTGTTTTATAGATCCTTTGTCCTTTTTCTTTCTTGCTATATTCCTTTGTGATTAGATAATATTCTCTAGTCATATGCCCTAGATTTCCTCCTTTTTATCTTTTGTGTATCTACTATAGCTTTTTTATTTGTGGTTACCATGGTTACCATGAGGCATAATGCAAAACATTTTATATATTATATAGAAGCTATTTTAAGCTGATAACAAACTTAATTTTGATTGCATAAAATAACTCTACATATCTACTCCACCCACATACATTTTTATAGTTTTTATATCAAAATTTAAATATTTTTATATTGTGTATCCCCTAACAAATTATTGCAGCTATTATTTAGTAGTTTTGTCTTTTAACCTTCATACTATAGAAGTAATTTACACACCATCATGATAGTATCAGAGTATTCTTAATATGGTTGTGAAATTATTTTTACCAGTGAGTTTTATACTTTCATTTTTTTTTGTTACTAATTAGCATCTTTTAATCTCACCTTGATGTACTACTTTTAACATTTTTTGTAAGACAGATCTGGTGATGATGAACTCACTCAGTTTTTGTTTGCTTGAGAAATCTATCTCTTCTTTATTTCTAAAGGATAGCTTTGCCAGGTATGGTATTCTTGGTTCACAATTGTTTTCCTTCAGCATTTTGAATATATGATTCCACTTTCTCCTGGTCTATATCTGATAAAAACTCCCCTGCTAAAACTACTGAAACTCCCTGATATGTGATTTGCTTCCTTTGCTGCTCTCAGTGTCCTCTCTTTGATTTTTGACAGTTTGATTATAATGTCTTGATGTAGATTGTTTGGATTGAATCTGATTGGGACATTCAGCCTTTGTATCTGGATTTTTATATCTTTCCCCAAATTTGCAAAGTTTTCTGCTATTATTTATTTGAATAAAATTTCTGCCACTTTTTCCCCCATTTCTCTTCATAAAGTTTCTATGATTTGGGTTTTCCTTTTTTGATGCTGTTCCATAAATCTCATAAACTTTCTTATTTATTTTGTTTTCTTTTTTCTTCTTTCTCAGTATATTTACATTACTTCAAGTTCACAGATTCTTCTACTTGATTTGCTGTTAACGTTCTGTATTAACTTTTTTTTCCATTCATTATGTTTTTAGGCTCTAAAATTTTCTACTTGATTTTTAATAATGTGAAATTATTTAATGATAAAGATAGTCATAGAATCAAATAATTAAATAATTCAAAATATTAATCATTTAATTATATTATAATTTTATAATGTAAAAAAAATAATTTTAACTGCTAAATTTCTCATTTCAAATCACTTATCCTTTTTCTGATTTCAATAAATTGTTTCTCTGTATTTTCCTGGAGTTTGCTGATCTTCCTTAAAATAATTACTTTATATTCTTTGTCAGGAAGTTTATAGGCTTGTTTGGGATCAGCCTCTACGTTTTTGTGGTGGTATTATGTCTTCTTGGTTTTTCATATTTCTTGTTATCTTATATCGATGTATGTGCATTTGATGGAGTAGTCACCATTTGCAGACTTCATAGGCTAGTTTCAATGTGGAAAGACCTTCCCCTAAATGGGAAGAGAGGCTGGGAGCAGAGTGTGATAGTTAATATTAGGTGTCAATTTGACTGAATTGGGAGATGCCTATATGGCTGCTAAAGTATTTTTCTGGGTGTGTCTGTATACATGGGTTGCCAGAGGAGATGGACATACAAGTCAATAAAGTGGGAGAAAAAGGCCCACTATCAGTGTGGGTGGGCACCATACGCAATCGGCTGCCCACACAGCTAGAACAAAGCAGGCAGAAATAGGAATAAGCAGCTTGCTGATTCTCTCACTCTCTTTCTCTTCCTGTGCCAGATGCTTGACTCCTCTCCTTGTGTCCTTGAACAGCAGACTTCAGGTTCTTTGGCCTTTGAACTCTGTAATTTGCACCAGCAGCCTCCCAAATGCTCTTGGGCACTTGGCCTCAGACTGTTATGCTGTCAGCTTCCCTGGTTTTGAGGCTTTCAGACTTGGACTGAGCCATGCTACTGGCTTGTTTCTTTCCCAAGCTTTCAGACAGCCTGTTATGGAACTTTGCCTTGTAATCATGTCAGCCATTCTCCCTAATCAGCGCCATTTTATATACATATATTGTCAGGCCTCTGAGCCCAAGCTAAGCCATCGCATCCCCTGTGACCTGGCATGTATACACCCAATTGGCCTGAAGTAACTGAAGAATCATGAAAGAATTGAAAATGGCCTGTTCCTGCCTTAACTGATGACATTCCACCACAAAAGAAGTGAAAATGGCCGGTCCTTGCCTTAAGTGATGACATTACCTTGTAAAATTCCTTTTCCTGGCTCATCCTGGCTGAAAAACCTCCCCCACTGAGCACCCTGTGACCGCCACCCCTGCCAGCCAGAGAACAACCCCTTTGACTGTAATTTTCCTTTACCTACCCAAATCCTATAAAATGGCCCCACCCCTATCTCCCTGTGCTGACTCTCTTTTCGGACTCAGCCCGCCTGCACCCAGGTGAAATAAACAGCCTTGTTGCTCACACAAAGCCTGTTTGGTGGTCTCTTCACACAGATGTGCATGAAATTTGGTGCCGTGACTCGGATCGGGGGACCTCCCTTGGGAGATCAATCCCCTGTCCTCCTGCTCTTTGCTCCGTGAGAAAGATCCACCTACGACCTCAGGTCCTCAGAGTGACCAGCCCAAGGAACATCTCACCAATATGAAATCCGGTAAGCGGCCTCTTTTTACTCTTTTCCCCAACCTCCCTCACTATCCCTCAAACTCTTTCTCCTTTCAATCTTGGAGCCACGCCTCAATCTCTCCCTTCTCTTAATTTCAATACCTTTCATTTTCTGGTATAGACAAAGGGGACACATTTTATTCGTGGACCCAAAACTCCGGCACCTGTCATGGACTCAGGAAGGCAGCCTTCTCTTGGTGTTTAATCATTGAGGGGTGGCAAGTCAATTGCAGGGATGCCTGCTTTGGCCGCTTACCCACCTTGCAGCCCAGGGCTGCTCCCCACCCCCTTCTCCATGTCTCTACCTTTCTCTTTAAACTTGCCTCCTTCACTATAGGCAACCTTCCACCCTCCATTCCTCCTCCTTCTCCCTTAGCCTGTGTTCTCAAGAACTTAAAACCTCTTCAACTCACACCTGACCTAAAACCTAAATGCCTTATTTTCTTCTACAATGCCACTCCACCCCAACACAAACTCAACAGTGGTTCCAAATAGCCAGAAAACGACACTTTCGATTTTTCCATCCTACAAGATCTAAATAATTCTTGTTGTAAAAGGGGCAAACGGTCTGAGGTGCCTGACGTCCAGGCATTATTTTACACATCGGTCCCTCCCTAGTCTCTGTTCCTAATGCAACTCATCCCAAATCTTCCTTCCCTCCTGCCTCTCCCCAGTCCCAACCCCAAGTGTCACTGAGTCTTTCTAATCTTCCTTTTCTACAGACCTATCTGACCTCTCCCCTCCTCACCAGGCCAGAAGGGGAGGAAGTCCCAATTCTTCCTCAGCCTCCACTCCTCCACCCTATAATCCTTTTATCACCTCCCCTCCTCACACCCAGTCTGGCTTACAGTTTAGTTCCATGACTAGCCTTCCCCCACCTGCCCAGCAATTTTCTCTTAAAAAGGTGGCTGGAGCTAAAGTCATAGTCAAGGTTAATACTCCTTTTTCTTTATCCGACCTCTCCCAAATCAGTTAGCATTTAGGCTCTTTCATCAAATATGAAAAACCCAGCCCAGTTAATGGCTCATTCGGCAGCAACCCTGAGACACTTTACAGCCCTAGATCCTAAAAAGTCAAAAGGCCATCTTATTCTCAATATACATTTTATTACCCAATCAGCTCCTGACATTAAATAAAACTCCAAAAATTAAATTCTGGCCCTTAAACCCCACAACAGGACTTAACCTCGGCTTCAAGGTGTACAATAATAGAGTAGAGGCAGCCAAGTAGCAACATATTTTTGAGTTGCAATTCCTTGCCTCCACTGTGAGACAAACCCCAGCCACATCTCCAGCACACAAGAACTTCCAAATGCCTGAACCGCAGCAGCCAGGTGTTCCTCCAGAACCACCCCCCAACCAGGAGCTTGCTACAAGTGCCAGAAATCTGGCCACCAGGCCAAGGAATGCCCACAGACCAGGATTCCTCCTAAGTCATGTCCCATCATGCAGGACCCCATTGGAAATTGGACTGTCCAACTCGCCTGGCAGCCACTCCCAGAGCCCCTGGAACTCGGCCCAAGGCTCTCTGACTCCTTCCCAGATCTTCTCGGCTTAGCAGCTGAAGACTGACGCTGCCTGATGACCTCAGAAGCCTACAGGACCATCACAGAAGCTCTAGGTAATTCTCACAGTGGAAAGTAAGTCCGTCCCCTTCTTAATCAATACAGAGGCTACCCACTCCACATTACCTTATTTTCAAAGGCCTGTTTCCCTTGCCTCCATAACTGTTGTAGGTACTGATGGCCAGGCTTCTAAACCTCTTAAAACTCCCCAACTCTGGTGCCAACTCAGACAATGCTCTTTTAAGCACTCCTTTTTAGTTATCCCCACCTGCCCAGTTCCCTTATTAGGCTGAGACACTTTAACTAAATTATCTGCTTCCTGACTATTCCTGGACTACAGCCACACCTCATTGCCACCTTTTCCCCCAGTTCAAAGCCTCCTTCACATCCTCCCCTTGTATCTCCCCACCTTAGCCCACAAGTATAGGATACCTCTACTCCCTCCTTGGTGACCGATCATGCACCCCTTACCATCTCAGTAAAATCTAATCACCCTTTCCCCACTCAATGCCAATATCCCATTCCACAGCATGCTTTAAAAGGATTAAAGCCTGTTATCACTCACCTGCTACAGCATGGCCTTTTAAAGCCTATAAACTCCCCTTACAATTCCCCCATTTCACCTGTCCTAAAACCAGACAAGGCTTACAGGTTAGTTCAGGATCTGCGCCTTATCAACCAGATTGTTTTGCCTATCTACCCCATGGTGCCAAACCATATACTCTCCTATCCTCAATACCTCCCTCCACAATCCATTATTCTGTTCTAGATCTCAAACATGCTTTCTTTACTATTCCCTTGCACCCTTCATCCCAACCTGTATTCGCTTTCACTTGGACTGACCCTGACACCCATCAGGCTCAGCAAATTACCCGGGCTGTACTACCGCAAAGCTTCACAGACAGCCCCCATTACTTCAATCAAGCCCAAATTTCTTCCTCATCTGTTACCTATCTCGGCATAATTCTCATAAAAACACACGCGCTCTCCCTGCCAATCGTGTCTGACTGATCTCTCAAACCCCAGCACATTCTATAAAACAACTCCTTTCCTTCCTAGGCATGGTTAGATACTTTCGACTTTAGATAGATACCTGGTTTTGCCATCCTAACAAAACTATTATATAAACTTACAAAAGGAAACCTAGCTGACCCCATAGATCCTAAATCCTTTCCCCACTCCTCTTTCCATTCCTTGAAGATAGCTTTAGAGACTGCCCCCAGCCTAGCTCTCCCTGACTGATCCCAACCCTTTTCATTACCCACAGCCGAAGTGCAGGGCTGTGCAGTCAGAATTCTTACACAAGAACCAGGAACGCTTCCTGTAGCCTTTTTATCCAAACAACTAGGCCTTACTGTTTTGCCTAGCCCTCAAGTCTGCGTGCGGCGGCCGCCACCGCCCTAATAATTTTAAAGGCCCTTAAAATCACAAACTATGCTCAACTCACTCTCTACAGTTCTCATAACTTCCAAAATCTATTTTCTTCCTCTCACCTGACACATACTTTCTGCTCCCCAGCTCCTTCAGCTGTACTCACTTTGTTAAGTCTCCCACAAGCACCATTGTTCCTGGCCCAGACTTCAATCCAGCCTCCCACATTATTCCTGATACCACACCTAACCTCCATGACTGTATCTCTCTGATCCACCTGACATTCACCCCATTTCCCCATATTTCCTTCTTTCCTGTTCCTTACCCTGATCACACTTAGTTTATTGATGGCAGTTCCACCAGGCCTAATTGCCACACACCAGCAAAGGCAGGCTATGCTGTAGTACAAGCCACTGGCCTGTCTCTTAGAACCTCTCATTTCCTTTCCATCGTAGGAATCTATCCTCAAGGAAATAACTTCTCAGTGTTCCATCTGCTATTCTACTACTTCTCAAGGATTATTCAGGCCCCCTCCCTTCCCTATACATCAAGCTCAGAGATTTGCCCCCGCCCAGGACTAGCAAATTGACTTTACTCAGCATGCCCTGAGTCAGGAAACTAAAATACCTCTTGGTCTAGGTAGACACTTTCACTGGGTAAGTAGAAGCCTTTCCCACAAGGTCTAAGAAGGCCACCACTCTCATTTCTTCCCTTCTGTCAGACATAATTCCTTGGTTTAGCCTTCCCACCTCTATACAGTCCGATAGCAGACTGGCCTTTATTAGTCAAATTGGCTAAGCAGTTTTTCAGGCTCTTGGTATTCAGTGAAACCTTTATATCCCTTACAGTCCTCAGTCTTCAGGAAAGGTAGAACAGACTAAAAGTCTTTTAAAAACACACCTCACCAAGCTCAGCCACCAACTTAAAAAGACTAGACAATACTTTTACCACTTTCCCCTCTCAGAATTCAGGCCTGTCCTTAGAATGCTACAAAGTACTGCCCATTTGAGCTCCTGTATCGACGCTCCTTTTTATTAGGCCCCAGTCTCATTCCAGACACCAGACCAACTTAGACTGTGCCCCAAAAAACTTGTCATCCCTACTATTTTCTGTCTAATCATACTCCTATTCACCATTCTCAGCTACTCATACATGCCCTGCTCTTGTTTACACTGCCAGTTTACACTGTTTCTCCAAGCCATCACAGCTGATATCTCCTAGTGCTATCCCCAAACCGCCACTCTTAACTCTTAAAGTAAATAATCTTTGCTGGCAGGACTATGCTGAATCTCCTTAAGCACTCTCTAATTAGATGCCCTAAGTCCTCCCAATTCTTAGTCCTTTAATACCTGTTTTACTCCTTCTCTTATTCCGTTTAGTTTTTCAATTCATACAAAACCGTATTCAGGCCATCACCAATAATTCTATACGACAAATGTTTCTTCTAACAACCCCACAATATCACCCCTTACCACAAAATCTTCCTTCAGCTTAATCTCTCCCACTCTAGGTTCCCACGCTGCCCCTAATCCCGCTCGAAGCAGCCCTGAGAAACATCACCCATTCTCTCTCCATACCACCCCCCGCAAAAAAATTTTTTTTCTTCACTGCCTCAACGCTTCCATACTACTTTATGTTATTTTTCTTATTAATATAAGAAGACAGGAATGTCAGGCCTCTGAGCCCAAGCTAAGCCATCGCATCCTCTGTGACCTGCATGTATACGCCCAGATGGCCTGAAACAACTGAAGAATCACAAAGGAAGTGATTCTTCCTGCCTTAACTGATGACATTCCACCACAAAATAAGTGAAAATGGCCGGTCCTTGCCTTAAGTGATGACATTACCTTGTAAAATTCCTTTTCCTGGCTCATCCTGGCTGAAAAAGCTCCCCCACTGAGCACCTTGTGATCCCCAACCCTGACCACCAGAGAACAACCCCCTTTGACTGTAATTTTCCTTTACCTACCCAAATCCTATAAAACGGCCCCACCCCTATCTCCCTGCGCTGACTCTCTTTTCGGACTCAGCCTGCCTGCACCCAGGTGAAATAAACAGCCTTGTTGCTCACACAAAGCCTGTTTGGTGGTCTCTTCACACAGACACGCATGAAACATATATCTTATTGGCTCTGTACCTCTGCAGAACCCTGAATAATACAGGGAATGTGAAGGCACTTGCTGGGTAGGGTGAAGCAGTTATGACACTTCGGAGGAAGTAGCTAAGTCTTGGTGCAGCTCTGTCAGTTGATATTGATGTTGAAGGTTTCTCAGTTTTTTATTGACTCTTGTTTCTCTTCTATGACATTTACATGTGTTAATTCTTATATAGTTCCCTACTTCCTCAGAAAGAACAGAAAAACTGCAGTGGGCAGGAGTGAGAGGAATGCCAGTCCCCCACTGCTTTGGAACAAAGCTTTGTTCAATCTTTCCCCCTGGAAAACAGTCCTTTGTTATGGAGAATGAATGACCAAGACATTTCCACAATATTACTGTTCTCCTGCCCCTGCCCAAGCCACAGAGTGATATTTCTTGGATTTTTACCACGAGAATGTGGTTGGATTCTTGGAAGCAAAACCCAGGAAATTGTTGGGGCACTCTTATATCTACATGCCCTCTTAGGAAATTCTCAATCTCAGTCCAGCAATTCAGCTTCAAACAATTTATTAAAATTAGCATTTAAGTGTACTTACTACTCTACGGTTCCAGTAGTGTTTGTTCTCAGTAAACGGTTCTCAGCTGTGACATTCAACATTTGCCTGTGGAAACTCCTTTCTCTGCCACATCTAACAAGAGTCATTGATTTTGCATTTGTTCAGTATTTTCTTGTCATAAGGACACAGGTAACAACTTCCAGGATTTTTACATGTCAGTGCTGAAAGTGGAAACCTCCATTTAGAAAAATTGTTGATAATAATATGTTAAGGAAAAAATGATATGAAAGAAGAAACCTTTATAAGTTACTTCTGTCTAATTCTCATCTTAGATCTGTTTAAGTACCTGAATCTATGTGTTTAATAGTGTGGTTAAGTTGTAGTTTTATGCTGATTTAATAAACCATAAAAGCAAAGGAATATTGGATTCAAATAAATGTGTAATTGAAATTCTGCAATTAATAATTTATGTTCCCCTTGTGTGGTTAGCCAAAATACTGGATCCTGGATTAGTCTGGCTGCCAGTTATATCTCAAAGAATGTTTGAAAAAAAAATATGGCTAACACTTTTTAAAAGCCCCTTTTATTTTCTCATTTGTAATATTCTACTTGTTTATTCTGAATGTTCACATTCATAGTCAGATGTGAGCAGTGTTTCCATTTTGGCCTATTCTAGGTACAAGCTTAAGTAAAGATAATAAAAGAAAACTGCTAACTCCAGTTTTCTAAATTCTCTTCTGAACCATTGAAGAATAATAACCCCCAAGAACACAACACTACATTTTTAAGGCAAAGTATTAGGCCAGCAGCAGACATTGTCCTCATTTTCTGCCTTCTCCACACAGCCATTGGCATTCTAGGCTATTTTTTTTTAGTCTGTGATCCCTATCATTAATGGGTTGGAACTGATACACAGCCAGTTCCACCCTGCACAGATGCAGGAACCGATGGAGGAAAACAAGGCTGAAAATAAGTACCTGTGATTTAAAAGAAAAAACAGTCATATCAAAGACAAAACATCAAGGCATTGTGAAAGCAAAGTATGATACAGCTGAGCTATGTTAGAGCACCAAAATGATTTAATTGACTACACATTAAAAACAAAAGCTGTCTGCCCAATGGTTTTTAAAAGAAAAGCAATGATTAATAATGAGTTATTCATTTTAAAAATACTTCCTAATTACTTAGATATTCTTATATGAAAAATGATTTTTCTGCTAATAAAAGTCTATATTGTAATATTCAAAGAATTCTTATTAGTTATTAAAATGTATTAGTTAAGAATATGATAATTATATGAGTAATGCATCTTCATGGTTTTTAAAATATTCAGCTAACAAAGAGATTTTCTTTTCCCCTCCCCAATATACCCAAAGGCATACATTCAGAATTTAATACATATTTTTCTGTAACTGTATTTTTTCACATAATAATACATTGGAACATCTTTCATTGTTAACATGTGTAGATTATTTTTGTTCTATGTAATTGCGTCTTTATGTTCCATTGGAAGATGTAGCATAATTTGTTACTTGAAAGTTTGTTTCATATTTTTTACTTTGAATATTTTCAAAAGGAAGGAGTCTTAGGTAATTTGCATTTGTTTTTCTTCTGCTTTCTTTGTATAAAAATAGATATAAATAAGGACTGTGGAAAGCTTTGGGGATTGGCACTGGAAAATGTCTGCTTTTAGAAGTGTGGATTTTCATAGATATATATTTTTGTTGTGACATTTTGTTTTGCCTTCAGTGAAAGTTTGCACTATTAAACCTTAAGATCAGGCTACAGAAAAGATTCACTAGAACTTCAAAAGCTTCTCTTTCTTGTACTCAAATATAAATGTCTCTGCATAAAAATTCTCAGCAACATCATTTGGCTCTTCTATGTGTTGCTGTTCTCAGTAACAAATTAATAAAGAAAAATTGCCCCAGGAGGCAAAATGTTGTCTCAACGGTACCATTTGGCATCTTCACACTGACTTCTCCAGAGCATTGCTGCTCTTATTAGTTCTGTGAAGGTGGAATATCACTGGAGCCTCAGGATAATGAAGGCAGTGGTTCCATTATGAAGAAGCAAGGCATTTTCCCAAAGTGGCCATCAAGCTGCTTGACAATGAGATAGATTTTCTCAGAAAAGATTAATGAAGTTCAAAAAGAAGTAGTGAGTACAGTTCTCCTTAGTATAATATAAAGCTTTTTCTTCTTCCACAGACAGAAGTGCTCAGTTCCCTTTTGTCATCTTTCCTCCTTTAAGCTTCAATAGCCACTTCATTAAGTGAAACAATGCTGTCACCATCCATCATCTGCCAGGCTTCTAATTCCCAATACAGCCTGGTACTCTGCAATCCCAGCATGCAGGTCACAGTTTTCATCTGGATTTGCATTTGTATCTATGAATTCATAATATCCATAAGTTTTCTAAGAATATTAAAAACATTGGAGTGAAAAGGAGCAAATATATGTTTCTCTATTCAATTCAGTTTCTAACACAGTTCATAATGTTTTCAGAATTTGTTTGGGGGGGAAAAGAATCTAATTCTATTTTGTTCACAGATATAGTCCAATTCTCTAGGACAGTTCCTGGCACACAGTAGGCCCCCAATATAATGTTGAATTGCTTGTAATACAAAACTTACAATCAGAAAACAGAGATAAATGCCAATTATTTGTATTGTGAAATACTATAATTTATGTTTAAGTCATTATTAACAACAGATTTTATAACATTAGCTAATTCTATTTGTTAGAATCAGTACATGTTAAACGAGAAGACCATCTGACAATATAGAAACATAAAAACAAGTCTAAAAGAATCAAAAAGGAAAAGACTCAAAAGAATTATAACAAACAAGAGAAGGATTTGATGAAATATGATATTTGTTCACAATGTGTTGACTGATATATCAAGTTTTTTCCCTGTGTTGGTTCTCATTCCTCTAGGAGGCAATTCTGTCATTTTAAATTGGAAGCCTTTGATTATTCTCAAACATATAGTTTTTCTTCTTTATGATTAGACAATTAGGTATTTCCCACGGACATTTGAGGTTAAGGCACAAAAAAGATCTGATTTGAGCTATAACACCTAAATCTTCCCTTCTTCCCCACTCTACAGTTATGTTAATACAACTAAATAAATAGATCTTATTTTGTTTTATATACCCAAATAAATTAATGTTTCTAAAAGCATACAAGAGGAGGACATAATACTCCATTGTCAATATCATTTATTCTAGGATAAATAACAATGTAGGACAGTTTCCTTATTTTGACAACAAATAGAATTTACGCATATATAATGGTCTGATTAAATGATTGAAGTTATTCTCATAATTCACGTGTGCAGATTCAAGGTTGTAGTAAATACTGTACAAGGGAGTCAGTGCAGGAAGGTAAGATCTGAACTACTGTCCTCATCTCTGTAGCAATTCTAAATAAAAGTAGGTAGATACTTATGCATCAATGGTCAGTAATTAATAGCAATAAAAGTGATCAAATTGATATGTTAATGGAGGCTCCATGACTTTCTTCCAGCATTAAAAGAGAAAGATTTTTATCCTCCCAGTTGGTATATATCACTATATTATGATCAAACACTTCTCAGAAACCTTTGACATCTAGAATTCTTATTAGTTATTAAAATGTATTAGTTAAGAATATGATAATTATATGAGTAATGCATGTTCATGGTTTTTAAAATATTCAGCTAACAAAGAGATTTTCTTTTCCCCTCCCCAATATACCCGAATGCATACATTCAGAATTTAATACATATTTTTCTGTAACTGTATTTTTTCACATAATAATATATTGGAAAATCTTTCATTGTTAACGTGTAGATTATTTTTGTTCTATGTAATTGCATCTTTATGTTCCATTGGAAGATGTAGCATAATTTGTTACTTCAAAGTTTGTTTCATATTTGTTTACTTCACATTGTTTGTTCATAAAGCTTATTTCATATTTGTTATATGAAAGTGTTTTTTTAAAAAAATACATCCACATTGTAATAATTTTCAAATAGCCCAGAATAATATAAATTTAAAATAAAAGTCTTCATCTTCTCACTCACAAAGGTAACTAGTGGTAAACATTTGTTTTAGCTCTTCTGATATTTACTATTACATCTATCTTTAAGGGTTTTGAGTTTATTTACTATAATTAACTTTTTAGAGTATTGTTGATTCACCATCATGAATTAGAACACATGTGTTAACCCATGCCTCCTCATTCCCATATCTCTTCTAAGGGTTGTTTTCTTCATTTAATTATTATATCAAAACACCATATTTTGATTCATAAACTGTAGGCATGTCTTGTTGTCTATGTTAAATATTGCTGTAGTGGTTCTCCAAGCGCCTGTATTTTCACTTTTCACTGGATCATATCCATGTGCACAGAATGCTGCTGTTTCTCCTTCTTTAAAAAAATCTGTTTTTATTCCTACTTTTTTCCACCAGCTACTGTCTTTCCTCTATGTTATAGAAAAACTCCTTTGAAAAAGTTGGTTATACGTAGTGTCTCTAAATTCTGACTTCCCATTTAATTTTTCCATATTTATTTAAATACGTATCTGCTCTACCTTTTTCTAAGAAAGTTGTTTCAATTCAAATGAGCCTCTGCATATTAAAGAGTATGTATGTTTATATTTTTCATGATTGCTGATTTATTCGGAATTACTTATTAGGTTTCAAAGGAATCTGTGCTTTTCAAAGGAGTGTTTAATCTATTTCTATTTATCAAAATTACTGATTTATATGAATTCACTTTAAATGTGGCATTCTGTGTTTTATATTTTCCATTAATGCTTCCTTCATTTTCCTTCTTTGACTTCTCTTACACTGATTGAATTTCTTTCATTTTCGTTTTTCTTACTTTACGAGTTTGAATGAGAGAGTTCATATACTTTTATGGTTCTATATATACTTTCAGGATTTTTTCCATTAATTTCAATAAAAAAGAACTACATATGTATATTTTCAGTAAATTAGAATATTTCTTTAAAATTGTCAACTTCCTCTTTGCTAATTTCTATATTATCAACATCTAACATTTTAATTTAAAGTTGCTTTTAAATATCAAATTGAAATATGCTAATTAGCTTTCAAATATAACCATGATATCCATATTGTTATATGACTTATCAAAATACTTATTTACTTGTGTACCTGTTCTCCTTGTAACTCATTACAGTTGTCTCTAGGAATTCATGCAAAATAGGTTCAAGGACCCCCATTGATTCCCAAATCAGTGAATAGGGAAATAATTTATTTAAAATAGTTCATTATTTGCATATAACCTATGCACAATTCCCATAATTCTCATAAAGTTATTTATGAACAAATAAATATTTTTTATTGTGTGGGTTTTTAAAAAATTTTTTAAATTTTTATTGTGTGGGTTTTTAAAAATATTTTCAGTCCACCTTGGTTGAATCTGAGTACGTGGAATCCATCGATCCAGAGGGCCAACTGTACTGTCTTCTGTGGGTTTTTAAAATTTTCTTTCTGAAATATAGCCTTAGAGACTCATCTACTCAGAATTTGTGTACTTTCAGGTAAATCAAAATATATTTATTTTCCTAATGAGAGGTAGACTATGATTCCCATGTATCTATTAGATACTCTAATCCTTGAAGGTTATCTGTATTTTCTTTCTTTTTTCTCTCTCTCTTAGTTTTTGAGTATTTTTGTTTGGAGATCTTTACTTTTCTATTTCATAAAGATTTTTATTTATTGTTTCAAGATTTAATTACAAATATTTCCTTTTTTTACAAGTGTTGTCTTCATATTTGAAGGTAAATGAAATATTGGTAATATTTCAGTGTAGTATTTTGTATTTGTAATCTAGGAAAATATTCAGGGAATGTAAAATTGCATATTTTTGCTGTGACCCAATCTTACATCATCAAAAACACTGAATACAACATATGAATTTTCCAAACAGTGTACAGTTCACTAAACTGTTTTTCTTTGTGTAACAAGTGCTAGAAAATATATTTCCTCTAAAAGATTTAAAGGACCATGAAACTTTTTTTTAGGTATCAGTGCCTTTTCTTGAAAGATATCCCCTCTCTCTTCGTCCCCTAAAAAATATGAAGCTGAGGAAACTAAATTAAATCAGTTCTCCATCCCCAGTCCCACTTTCAACATGATTTCTCAGCTTCCGGTGTCTCTGCAAAAGTTAATACTTTAATCACTGTCTATTGTCTACCTCATTTAACAAACAGAGGAAATTCACCTTGTTTCCATCATTTGAATCACCAATTCATGTTGTATCCCTAGAAAATGCCTAGACCTGTTACGAAACTTTTCTTTGGTTTAGGATGAGCATATTACTCTGTTCTTTAACCTGCTTTTTTATTTCAAACTCTATCTTCTGGATTCTCTTCATACTGAGTTTTTCCCTATGTATTAGCATGCATTACTAAGTTTGTTAGTGTTCCACATGATTATATGTTTTATTGATATGGCTATGTATATATATAATACACACACAATATCATACATACATATATATATATCCTGACAGTCTCACTGTCCATTCTAACTCAGATTTGCTTAATTTCTTCTCCTTTATAGAAATCACCTCTTCCCAGATAAAGCATGTAAGTTAAATTAGTATTAGCTTAACATTTTCAAGTTACAAAAACATTTTTGTCACTTTTTACTTTACACCCCTACTTTTTCCCTTCCTCCTATTTTTAATTATTTTTTTAATTTAAGGCATGCTTTTCTCCTTTCCTTCAACTTTTTTATAACATTTATATAGAGAACATGTAAATTAATATCCTGGCTGCTTTCCAATGCTTCTTTTTGTTGTTAGAGTTATCATTAAAGTCAATATTTCAATATTGGAAAATAAAGTAGCAGTCATGGTGATCTACCACATCCCTGTTTAACTATTCTATTTTTACTTAAAATAATACAACTATGTAATGATTGTTTTTCTCTGAAAACATTGTGGCAGTTTCTGAATGTTGGAAAGACCCAAAGAACTATTTACTGGCATCTTTGTGAATGAGAGAAGATTAAGCATTGAAATAAAGAGGTATTGTTTTAATTTACACAAGGTATTATTTAGGCAAATGGAAGAACTATATTTAGATACCTGAAGTACAATACTCAGAAAATGACTACTACAGTAACAACTTCATTAAAAATAAAAATGAGCTCATTTAATTAAATTAATTGCTAATCTATTAGAAACACTTCCAGAAAGGTTGTGGCATTCTTAGATTTCAAGTTAGATAAATCTCAGAGGATAGGAAGCTCATTAACTGTTCCATATTTAAAAATAAAATAAATCAAGATCTAGGATTGTAAAGATTTAGGTGATTTTTAGAACCTTTTAAAATAATATATTGTGAAAGGGAATAGAGGAGCTTAGCTTTAGAAAAGAATAGAGAATTACTGTGATACTGAAGGTTAGAATTAGAATATAGTCTATATTCAAATCACACACAGCAATGTTGTATAATTCCTAATAAAAAATGTTACTTAAATTCTATTGTTTTTTCATTAAAAATCATACTATTAATCATCTAGGAAGAGGCTGCAGTTCAAGATCTCTGCAACAAATTTTGAGCCTTATATACTGTGTTAATGTTTCAAATGCTACTGTTTACAGGCTGTGTGACCTTGAATAATTAGTTTAACATCCTACATCTCTGTTTCCTAATCTGTAAAATTAGGCTAGTAATAGCAAATGCTTCATAGTTTTTTTGAGAATTCAATAATATGATACGTGCAAAGTCCTGAAAACAGTAACTGGAATTGAGCAATATGTAGTTAATTTTAGTGGTTGCTGCTGCTGTTGTTGTAATAAGGATAATGATAATAATAATAAACAACTATTTTACTATCATTAATTTGCTGTCTGTCCTCTTGCACATTTTCCTTTTCGATTTACATTTAAAGAACCATTTATCACCTAGAGCTCCAAGTGTAATCCATAAATTCCCTCAAATTCTTACTTTGAACATCTTTCTTCTAACGTGGCAACATTCCTTGTGAACCTACTATTAGATTACCTGTAGCTCTGACATGAGGAAAGATTTTTCAAAACAAGCATAAACTCCTTTTCCCCCACTCTCTGCTACTTCTTTCTAGTGCTTTATTTGTGGGAACTGTACATTGTAGTATTTAAAATGCCGTTGTCAGCAGCCCCCACAACACACTCACACATTTCTCTTGCACTCCATAACTTTTTTTTTCTCCTGAGAATCACCACCTTTGAATGCATGTGAAAAATTGTAAGTACTGAAAGGTCAATAGGTTGCCTGGAAGAAAAAAAATCAGCGAACAGCCAAAATATGTTTGGCTGCTTAGCTTTCATGTCATCAGACTGATTCTTTGACTCATTGGATAGGCTGTGAGAAAAATTGAAAGCATCTTCCTACTATTTCCCAGGCAACTCTGTATAACCAGATTGAAAGAGACAGAGAAAGAGAGGGAGAAAGAGAGGAAGTAGGAAAGGAAGAAATTGAGAGAAGTTAAAGGACAATATACTGCATAATGAAGGGAAGCTTGGTAAGTTCTTCACAGTAACATCGCTGAGGCCTTGGGCATGGGAGCATACTACAAGATTGCGACATTATAATTTCCTGATTTTTACAATGGTGGAATTGTGTCATTTTGCATCTATTTATAGGTATCTTAGTTGAATGGTGGGATAGTATTTTAATCCACAAGATTCATTAATTCTGTATGTTTCTGGACTACAAGAAAATGTTAAACTTTGATGGGGGTGTGTGTCAACTCAAGCTATTATAACAAAGTACCATAAACTGGGTAGCTTAAAACATAGAAAATTATTTCTTACAGTTAGGGAGGCTGGGAAGTCTGAAATCAAGGTCCCGGGAAGGTGGTTTTCATTCTGAGCACTTTTTAGGCTTGAAGGCAACCCTTCTCACCGTGCACATACTTGGCAGAAAGAGAGAGAACTCTTACCTCTCTTCCTCTTCTTATGAGGGCACTAATCCCATCATAAGGGCCTCATTCTCATGACCTCATTTAAACCTAATTATCTCCCAAAGGTTCCACCTGCAAACATCATCACATATGGGTGTGAGGACTTCAACATAAGAATTTGGGGGAGCAGGATCAGTCTATAACATTAAGTCCATAACAGCTTGTGTATGTGTGTGCTCGTGAGTGTGAGAGAGAAAATTATAAGTTCCGTGCAATCATGTCTAAGTGAAGAATGACAAAAAGAACATTTTTAACAGTTTCTTATTTCTTGGCTAGAGGTCTGCGTATAGGTCTCTCCCTGCTGAAGCACATTTTTATTTTCTGTATTTTTATGCATCACACCCCAGTGCAAGATTTATGAAACTTGAGTCCATTTCTTTCTATAAATAGAAACAACTTTGATCACAAACAGGCTGATTTATGAACTGGAAAATACCTAAGACAAGACAGCCTTTCACAGAAACCATATCTTTTTAATCAACCTACATTATATAATACACTCTTTTACTTAAAAGAGCACTGCCTTAAGTATGAATTATATGCCATTAGAAATATTCTCAGTTACAAAAGGCCCAGCACTTCTATACATCAGACTAATGATTAGACAAAAGTAATGCCAATATTTGAAAATACCTGATAACATGAAGACTTAAAGTTATTACTAGTAACACTAAAGTTGATTTAGAGTTTAAGCAGATAGATTGTTTTGGAAGAATAGAAAATTTGAAGAGAATATGTCAACGTAGTTACATACAAAGGCTGGGTTATCTGAACCTTCAGAAACCCTAGCATGTGTGTGTGTGTGTAGGAATATGTATGCATATATTAGGTAAACTCTATTGTATTATAAAGAAACTTGCTAAATCTAATTTTTATAATTTTAGATAATAAAGTTATAGGTAAGATTATGATTAACTTTAAAAAGGGTTAGATGGATGTATAATGAGAAGTCTGGTAGGTTTGTCACAAAAGGGCAATAATTTTCTTTTCATTATCCTCTTTTGGATTTTTTTTTTGTTTTCTTGTAATTTAAATTCTCAACATCTAGATCTAAAGATATCAAAGAAGATATTCAGTCAATATTGCACAAATGAGAGAAAGAAATAATGCACTTCTGTAAGTACATCATGCCTTTTTCAAAAATGATTTCTTATTGTGTAGCCATTGATAAAATAGAGCAATATAAAACATACTTAAATGTTTTATATACTACAACAAAAAATAAATTATAGTAATGTAAAACAGACTCAGTAGAAACAGATGCACCCAATATCATGAAATTATCTACAATTTTTGAAATTTTTTCACTTTTTAAACACTATTATTTTTATATTAAGTTTAAATTCTCTTATCAAAGCAATAATGGAGATGCATTCCCCCAAAACCACCACCTAGCTCTGCTCATCATTAATTTCCTTTAAATAGACTTTATTGCTTAGAACAGTTTTGGATTTACAGAAATATTGTGAAAATAGCACAGAGATTTCCCATATACCTCACATTCAGTGTCCCCTACTATTAATGTCCTACATTACTATAATACTTTTGTTATGTTTAATAAATGAATATTAATACAGTATTATTAACTCAACCCTGGACTTTATTCAGGTGTCTTTAGCTTTTAGCTAATGTTCTTTTTCTGTTCCAGGGTCCCATCTAGGTTACCACATTACATTTAAGTGCCATGTCCCCTTAGGCTCCTCTTGGCTATAACAATTTCTCCAGTTTTCTTTGCTTTTAATAACCTTGACAGCTTTGAAAAATGCTGGTCAAATATTTTGTATATCGTATATTTTTTATTGGGAATTGTGCAATGTGTTTCTCATGATTATGCTAGGGTTATGTTTTTGCAAGGAAGTCACAGAGAATAAGTGCCATTTTTCATGAATCATATTAAGAACATATACTATCAACATTAATTACCACAATTAATGTTGATGTTGATAACTTTGCTGAGGTAGTGTTTGCTGGGTTTCTCCACGAAATTACTGATTTACCCCTTTTTGTACTATAATCCTTGGAAGAAAGTCACTATGGATAGCCTACACTTAAGGAATAGGGAGCTCTGCTCCAACTACTAAAGGGCATAGTATGGACACAAATTATTTGAAAGTTTCCTGCAGATATTTTTCTATTCTTTTTATATTTGTTTCCTTCAACTTTTATTTTTAGTTCAGAGGTGCATGTGCAGGGTAGTTACATAGGTAAACATGTGCCATGGTGGTTTGTTGCACAGATCATCCCATCACCTATGTATTAAGCCCAGTATCCATTAGCTATTTTTCCTGATGCTCTCCCTTCCCCAACCCTTCCCACTGGTGCCCAATGTGTGTTGTTCCCCACCCCCATGTGTCCAATATGTTCTCATTATATAGCTCCCATTTATAAGTGAGAACATGTGGTGTTTGGTTTTCTGTTCTTGCATTAGTTTGTTAAGTATAATGGCTTCCAGCTTTATCCATGTCTCTGCAAAGGAAATGATCTCGTTCCTTTTTGTGTCTGCTTAGTATTACATGGTGTATATGTAAAACATTTTATTTATCCAGTCTATCACTGATGGGCACTTAGGTTGATTCCATGTTTTTGCTATTGTGAACGGTGCTGCAATGGACGTACACATGCAGGTATCTTTATAATTGAATAACATATATTCCTTTGTGTATATACCCAGTATAGGATTGCTGGGTCAAATGGTATTTCCACCCCTAGATCTTTGAGGAATCACCGCACTGTCTTCCACAATGGTTGAACTAATTTACCCTCCCACCAACAGTGTAAAAGCATTCTTTTTTTCTCTACAACCACACCAGCATCTGTTGTTTTTTGACTTTTTAATGACAGCCATTCTGACTGGCATGAGGTGGTATCTCACTGTGGTTTTGATTTGCATTTCTGTAATGATCAATGTTGACATTTTTTTCATATTTTTTTTGCCTCATGTATGTCTTCTTTTGAGAGGTGTCTGTTCATATCCTTTGCCCACTTTTTAATGTTTTTTTCTTGTAAATTTGTTTAAGTTCCTTATAGACTCTAGATATTAGACATTTGTCAGATGGATAGATTGCAAAAATTGTCTTCCATTCTGTAGGTTGTCTGTTCACTCTGATGATAGTTTCTTTGGCTGTGCAGAAGCTCTTCAGTTTAATTAGATCCCGTTTGTCAATTTTGGCTTTTGTTGCAATTGCTTTTGGCATTTTTGTTATGAAATCTTTGCCTGTGCCTATGTCCTGAATGATATTGCTTAGATCCTCCTCTAGTATTTTTATAGTTTGGGGTTTTACTTTTAACTATTTAATCCATCTTGAGTTAATTTTTGTATATGGCTTAAGGAAGAGGTCCAGCCAATTTCAATATTCTGCATATGGCTAGCCAGCCTTCCCAGCACCATTTATTAAATAGGGAGTCCTTTCCTCCATTGCTTGTTTTTGTCAGGTTGGTTGGAAATCAGTTGGTTATAGATGTGCAGTCTTGTTTCTGAGTTCTCTATTCTCTTCCATTGGTCGATGTGTCTGTTTTTGTACCAGTACCATGCTGTTTTGGTTACTGTAGCCTTGTATAGTTTGAAGATGGGTAATGTGATGCCTCCTTTGTTCTTTTTGTTTAGGATTTGGCTAGTCCGGCCCTTTTGTGGTTCTATATGAACTTTAAAATAGTTTTTTCTAATTCTGTGAAGAATGTCAATGGTAGCTTAATGGGGATAACATCTATAAATTATAGATAGCATCTATAAATTACTTTGTACAATATGGCCATTTTCATGATATTAATTCTTCCTACCCATGAGCATGAAATGTTTCTCCATTTGTTTGTGTCCTTTCTGATTTCTTTGAGCAGTGGTTTGTAGTTCTCCTTGAAGGGGTCATTTACTTCCCTTGTTAGCTGTATTCCTAGGTATTTTATTTTCTTTGCAGCAATTGTGAATGGGAGTTCATTCATGATTCAGCTTTTTGCTTGCCTGTTGTTGGTGTATAGGAATGCTAGCAATTTTTGCACATGGATTTTATATCCTGAGACTTTGCTGAAGTTGCTTATCAGTTTAAGAAGCTTTTGGGCTGAGACAATGGGGTTTTCTAGCTATAGGATCATGTCATCTGCAAATAAAGATAATTTGACTTCTTTTCCTATTTGAATATCCTTTATTTCTTTCTCTTGCCTGATTGCCCTGGCCAGAGCTTCCAATAGTATGTTGAATAGGAGTGATGAGAGAGGGCATCCTTGTCGTGTGCTGGTTTTCAAGAGGAATGGTTTCACCTTTTGCCCATTCAGTATGATATTAGCTGTGGGTTTGTCATATATGGCTCTTATTATTTTGAGGCGTGTTCCTTCAATACCTAGCTTATAGAAAGTCTTTAACATGAATGAGTGTTGAATTTTATCAAAGGCCTTTTCTACATCTATTGAAATAATCATGTGGTTTTTGTCTTTAGTTCTGTTTATGCGATGAATCACAATTAATGATTTGCATATGTTGAACCAAACTTGCATCCCAGGAATGAAGCCAACTTGATTCCTTTATTTACATAAGTATGTACTCCTAGATATTTATTTTGTGAAGTGTTTTATGATCATACGGATTTATTTGTAATCTTGTTCATATGGTCGATTACATTATTTGATTTTTGTATGTTGAACCACTGTTACATACCTTAAATAAATCCCTCTTGTTAATGACATGTAATTCTTTTCATACATTGTTGTATTAACCTACTAATATTCCATGGTTAATTATTAACAATATCATCCCTGGTATATCCTATGCATACATATCAATCAAATGATACACATATATTTATCTATTTATATTTTTATCAAAATAGTTCAAAATTCCTAAGTTATGTTAAGGAAACTTTTTAGTCTTTAATCTAACATCAAAAAGTAAAGTGAAGTTAACACGAAAGATTGTAGACGTGTTTTGTTTAAAAGTTTTCACACCCAAACATTATCTCAAAAGATCAGAATAAGGCTAAGAAAAGCAACTATGAAACATATTAAGGATGGAATCCTTACATAATTTTTAACTTTGCTTTAAATTACAAATCATCATTTTACTAAGTCACTAGCATTGTTAAATGTCTCCTAAATTCTCCTCTCCTTTTTAAATTTTTTGTTAGTAAATTTATTGCTGTAACATTTTAACATGACATTTTTGATGTGTTAGGTAGATATTTATACTAGCTTTGTTTTAAATTGATTCAGATATGGATGGATGCTTTTCTCTTCTTGAATTCTTTACTTAGCTTATTTTCTAATTGATTAAAATTTGTCTTTAAGTAGATATATCATGGATAGCTTCTGTGTTGTCATACCTGAGTTCTTTTACTACACAGCCTGTTAGTTTATTTTATGCTTGGAAAACATGTAAATTGAGTGTAATGTTCTTAAGTTACACTTTCCATTATTTAGAGCTTTCCAATCATCATTGATGTGTTTGCGAGCATTTAAATGATGATAGATAGAAATTTGAGGCTATGCCGACTGGCTTCCCTTCCTGTAAGGTTTTTTCCACCATTTGATGACAAAAATAATTATTCCCTCCCACCTGAATTTCTGTAATGTTTCTCTATAATATAAATGATCATAAAGAGTCTATGTGATTGCATTATTTCTGCCTTGTTTACTCTGTTTCTTGCTATGTTGAACTAATTTTCTTATTTTCTCAGAGGTTCTTTTGGTCCTTGATCTAATTAGTTAGGTCTGCAAGCTACATTTTCCTTCTTTTTTTCTTTTACATTATGTCTTATAGATATTGTTTTCTTAAATTAAAAATAATATTACAATACTTTAAGTCATTTGTTCTGTGTCAGCGTCATACCAATCTACATTGTTCATGGGATAATCCTTGCTTTTATTTTCATAGGTTAGTTTGCAGAGCTACCTTTCCATTTCTTTTCACTTTTTTGTTTTTGTTGTTGGATAGCTTTGTCAAGATCTTTTCTTCTGTCTTTGACAGTCTTGACCATGTTCTTATCATGTCTGTATTGCTTATCTTCCCTGCCTCATTACTGTTTAAAACTAGTGATTTTTTCTGCCAGCCACATTTTGGTAGCCTGAAAGCATGACAGGAAAGGAGATACTTGGATGAGCAGTGTGTAGTCTTTGTTAGAATACCTGAGCTCTGCTTCGGTTTCTGCAATGATGTTAAATGCCCTCACACTGTGTCCTCAATAGCTGCCATAGAAACTAGTGCATTGTAACTTCTTAATTAATGATTTTTGAATGAAAGAATGAATAAATATATTAGACATGAGTACCTGTTATTACTTTTCTGCTACAGATTAGATTCTCAATTTATTATGTAATTTGAAATTCACACTTCTATTAGAGCAAATTAGTAGACGCATGCAATGCTGCATGAAGCTGCTTAGAATTTGGATACTGTTGCTTTTACTCCTATTTTATTAACCCCAGCAAGTCACACCTTTGGGCCTAATATTGGAGAAGAAATTCACATGCTACCCATGAAAGTGCTGCAAATGCCAATTGGAAGACTTGTATGCTTCTCTTACAGTGAAGGGAAGAAATAATCAAGAACAAAAATTCAATGCACCTTAAGCTTCTCCACCCCTTTCATGTGGGCAGCACTTTCCAGAACTCACCAGTTTTAATAAGTGTATGGTAAAGATACTGCTTCAGAATTTTTTCTTCATGTTTGAGGCTCATATTAAGAATTTCTGGCTTCTATTTGCCCATCCTATGACCTCTTGGGCTTACAAGCTTCAATAAGAGTACTGAATGCCAATACTCTTGGCAGCTTTTCCAGTTTCTAGAATCATTACTTGGCAGCGATTTTTCAAGGATTTTATTTTTAATGTTCATTTATTTGAATACTGAAAGAAAATGATAGTTTGATGCAGTTCAATTCTGCCATTTTTACATAATCTGTTCAGGCAGAAATTTTGCCCAAGATCTTTAAAGCAATAATATGTACTCCGATATTCTTTTATACTATCATTTCCAAATATTACAACCTTCTATGCAAGACAATTTTATTCAACGCATACTTTTATGTACTTAATATATGACTCCTTCTAGATGGTTAGTACAGTCTTAAAATTCTGTTAATATTGTCTTTATTACCTATTAACATTATTCATATCAAAGGAGTAAGGATTTTATTTATTTAATTAAGATTTTAGCTGGGCATGCTGGTTCATGCCTATAATCCAGCTCTATTGAATTAAGTAATTTTCTATTAGATTTGATTCTTAATCCCAATTCAACTCATTGTATGTAGTTTCATGTTACAGGTATACATACACCTGTATTTATTTTATATAAAACACAATGTATTTAATTATATGAACTTGAAATGCACTCATATTAATAAAAAACTTTAGCAGAACTGAGAAAAAGAAAATTCTTTATTTTTAATTGTGAAATCAATCTATAACACCTAAGTTCAGGAGAGCAAATAACATATTTTGGCAAGTATTCATTAAGGCAATTACTTATAGGTAACTTTCATAACTCTTAATCAGCAGTGTTATAGTATTCAAAATTGAAAAACCATGGCAGAAAATCAATTAAAACTATAAGTAAACATTTCTCCAAGTTTTAATATTCTAAAACATTTTTTATGAATCTCCACATGATGCAATTTGAAACTATATCATATCTATATACTAATATTATTTTATTTTTTATGCACATAAAAAATAATTATACATCCTGGGGTATTGTCATTATTATGAGGTTTCTTTTGGAAGGAAAGGAGCATAAATCTAGTTATATTAAGTGTATAATTTTGAAACTTTTTTTGTTTGTTTTTGTTGCCCAGGCTGGAGTGCAATGGCACAATCTCAGCTCACTGCAACCTCCGCCTCCCGAGTTCTAGCACTTCTCCTGCCTCAGCCTCCCAAGTAGCTGGGATTACAGGCATGTGCCACCATGCCGGCTAATTTTGTATTTTTAGTAGAATTGGGGTTTCTCCATGTTGGTCAGGCTGGTCTTGAACTCCCAACCTTAGGTGATCCGCCTGCTTCTGCCTCCCAAAGTATGGGATTACAGGTGTGAGCTACTGCATCCGGCCTGAAACTTATTTTTAAATTAACTCCATGGTATGAATATTTCTCTCCTATTTTAATAGATGGATAAATAGACGATGAATTGATATACAGATAGACAACTGAATAGAGATATAGAGAGATGAAAGAGAACTCTAGATAGTTATTTTAATTGTTATATAATATTTCAAAACCAAGTTTTTTAACTGTGGCTTTGTCACTACAATCAATCTTATGATCAATATCACTGTGTGTGTGTATATATATATACACACATATATAACTATTTACTGTTTATCATAAAATATTTTCCAAAAAGTTACTCTTTCTGAGCTAAATGATAGGCCAGAAACTTTCCAGAAAAGTTGTAGCAGCTCATCTTTCCAAAGGTAACAGTTGAGAGTGCTTCTTTCCTCACAGTCTATCCCACACTCTTGTTCTCTCTAATATTCAGGCCCTGGGATATTTAGGCAAAGATGAGGAGAATGTAATTTCAATTAATCACCATTTTTCAGTCTTTCTAATGCTTTTGCATTTCTGCACTAGAGAGCACTCTGGATATAGACTGAGGCCCATTTGCCTCCAGCAGCACTAATGCTTCACACTTGCTTACTGAATAAAAATTACTCCCAGAGACATGCATCCCAATAACATTAGCAATTCTGTAACTTCTTGCTTTTAGCGCTGGGGTATGCCTTCATCAAAGGTCTAAAGGGAAAACAACAAACAAACCAAACAAAAAACCCTACCCGTTAAATCAAGAAAGAAACAGAGACACTTTTGAGGCAAGAGAATAGGGTCCGGAGTCAGGGAACCTAAGGCCAATTCAGGCTGACTTCCTAGAACTAAATCAAAAGGAAAACCCCAAATTTCCATGCCCAAGTAACAAAAGCACCACAGGCTACTCCGTTTGCAACCTCTCCTCCTTTTCTGTGTGACAGATGAAAAACTGAAAGTACCTCTGATTGGTTTCTTCCTGCAACCAATCAGGGCTGTTCATGGGCCAAGTCTTTATTTGCATAGAAGTATAACTTTGTAACTTTACTTTAGCCTCTGATTGGTCACTTTCTGCAACCAATCAGACTGATCACAAGACAGTACTTCATTTACATATGGTATACACCAAGTAACCAATGGGAAACCTCTAGAGGGTATTCAAACCCCAGAAAATTCTGTAACTAGGTCCTTGAGCCGCCTGCTCAGGCCTGTTGCCACCCTGTGAAATGTGCTTTCATTTTCAGTAAATCTCTGCTTTTGTTGCTTTATTCTTTTCTTGCTTTCTTTGTGCATTTTGTCCAGTTCTTTAATCAAAGCACCAAAAACCCGGACACTCTGCACCGGTAATAGGTTTCTGTCATGACAAAGCTGCTTCCTTTCATGATTCAAAATAATTGATTTGCATAAATAATGAGTATTTCTATATCACAGTTTATTCAATATTAAGAAATCAACATTACTTCTTAAAATATTATCTTTTATTATTATTCATTTAATCTCAAATCCTTTAAAAACTAGGAATTTTTTGTGGAAGTTTTTTTTTTGCTAAGTGGAAGTGTTTTGTTTGACAAGACCTCATTTTGGGAAAGGTGGGTTAGAACCTTGGGGTAGAAATTATACCCTAGACTTGGCACTCCAGACAATATACCTGGCATGATGCTGAGAATTATGAGAGGGAGTAGTTAGCACTCACAGGGTAATAGAGATGTAGGTTCTTATTAGAAACTTTTCTTTAATTATACGATTCTTAGTCTGAGATAAGCTAGAATAAAAGATTAAAACCTATTAAGAGTATGGAGCAGGAAAGAAACTGTTTACAGTTATATTTAAAATAGTAAATAAAAATGCTTTACTCATATTAAAATATTTGCATTTCCTCAACCTTTGCTCAAGGTAATTGGGCATTACCTTGCATGTGAAGAAAAAAGTTGAATGTAGTTTTTATGAGGTACTTTTAAAATATCTGTTTATATAAGCAAAATATGGTAATCTTTTGCCATATTGAATTAGTTTTGAAAAACAAGGATTCTTATTTATCCATCCAGAAAAAAGTACCTAATTCACTCTTAAACTAGTAGAACATAAGAGGATCACTTTGTTTCAGGTATTGAATGTATATGTCTATATAAAACATAAATATACATTATAACATAATTTCATAAGAAAGACATCCCATCTGACAAGGAACTGTACAAGTCTTCCTTAATATACAGATAGAAAAGAAGTATAGAGAAAATGTATTTCTCCTTTCAATTTATACTATGTAATCACTAATAGCAAAAGGGACCAGTTTTCAAAAAAGCTATAAGGACCTCAACTTCATCCATAATGGAATAACTGACACGGGAAATGAAGAACTATAAAACTGAACAATTCTCAGATATTCAATGAAAAGCAGGACTGGGCTATGAGCTATGAAAGAGAGGAAAGGGAAATGTAAAGGCACATCAGTTGTCCAGACTTTGTGCTTTGAGGCAGTTGCTGGACTGCATCACAAAGGAGGAGGAATTTAAGCAGAGCATAGTGTTCTCATTGAAGTAATAAAACCAAGAAAGAAGTTGGGGAAGCTGAAGTAGATAGAATTTGTGGATCAAAATATGGAAGAAATGGGATATAGACAAATAAAGAGCTCAAGAAATCTTTGACATGTCCCAGTGTCTGTGGTTGAGTATCACCTTAATGAACCTGAAAAATAAGACTCAAAATCACTAAGCTCATCTGTTGTTACTTACAGATGAAAGTAACAACCTATGAAAAAAAATGCCAACACTTTTTACAAATTGATGATAAAATTCAAACACTCACCAACATTATTATTTCTGGTGTTCAAAAAGGAAAAATAGACAAAGACACAGTAGATGATGTCACTTGAATAAACATAATCAATATAAACAGACTCAGAAATGGCAGAGGTATTAGAATTATGAGGACATCAGAATAACTAGTATAAATATGTTCAAGGATTTAAGGTAAAATGTAAACATGATAAGAGAACAAATAAAAAATTTTAAAAGAAATCAAGATATAATTTAAGGTGAAAAGTACTATATCTCAAATGAAAAATTAGCTGTAGGACCTTAACAGTAAGTTAGATACTGTAAAGGTCATTTCTAAACGATTAGTGAACTTAAAGGCAAATATAAAATATTCAAACAGAAACACAGAGAGAAAAATTATGAGGAAAAAAACAGAGGCTCGATCTATGGGACAACATCAGACAGAAAAACATAACAATTATTAGATTTCCAGATGAAGAGGGATGGGTAAAACAATTTTTTTTAAAATAAAGGCTACAAATTTTCCAAATTTTGGCTGCTAACTTGGGAAATATATAGCAAAATAGAATATTGTTCTCCTCCTCAATAATGAGAAAAACACATAATCCACAAATATTTATCTCAGAGAGCTGAAATCACAAATAAACCAAGTATACTAGATTCCAAAACATGACAATCTCCTCTTTTGATAGGAAAAATACATACATTCTTTTGTCTTTTATAAAACAGAACAAAAGGATGTGCAGGTAAAGAAAAAAGATTAAAGAATTCTCAAGGTGACACTTTGGGTGAGAGAGACAGATAAGAATCTTAGCTTGGTCCATTTGCAGGATACAGAAGCAATGACCCCTAGTAGCAAGGAATATACCTAGTGCCTAGATTGTGATTTCTTAACATCATTCTTCAGCAAAAGAAAGTAGGATAGTTTGGTTAATAATAGGGATAAAGCAGAAAAATATGATTCACTTACAAAAAACTTATGATGCCAGAAATTAAGAAAATGCTCAGAAAAGAATGAGGTCTTGTAGAAAGAACAACAAAGACAATTTGAAAAAAAGGAGATCTTGTAGAAAGAATGAGGTCTTGTAGAAAGAACAAGGAAGACAATTTGAAAAAGTTCCTGACAACTAAAGCTCAGAAGTTTGAGAAACAAAATAAATTCTTGTGTTATTAGATTATAAGCCATAGAGATTTATTTTGAGCAGCAAAATAAATACTTGTGTTGTTAGGTTATAAGATATAGAGATACATAACCCACAAATTAAAACAGATGAATAAAATAAAGAAAACAAAAGAATAAAAGAAAGAGAGAGAAGGAAAGAAAGAAAGAAAGCAGAAGAGACAACACTACTTAAAATAGCATTCCAATTAAAGATGTAACACATTTTTTTTTAAATCTCATCAGGCAATTTCTAACAAATTGAAAGATTGATTTTTAACTATAGAAGGACATGGCAGGGCGTGGTGGCTCACGCCTGTAATCCCAGCACTTTGGGAGGCTGAGGCAGGTGGATCAGGAGGTCAGGAGATAGAGACCATCCTGGCTAACATGGTGAAACCCCATCTCTACTAAAAAAATATAAAAAATTAGCCAGGCGTGGTGGCAGGCGCCTGTAGTCCCTGCTACTCGGGAGGCTGAGGCAGGAGAATGGAGTCAACCAGGAGGCGGAGCTTGCAGTGAGCTGAGATGGTGCCACTGCACTCCAGCCTGGGCGACAGAGTGGACTCCATCTAAGAAAAAAAAAAGAAGGATATACCAAAACCTAGAATAACCAAAACAATTTTCAAAAAGAATAGCACAGCTAAAGAACTCACAGTATCTAGTTTCAAGTTTTTTTTCTAAGCATCTCTGAAATCTAGGCAGAGATTCCAAAACCTCAATTCTTAATTTCTGGGCACCTGCAAGCTCAATACCATGTGGAAGTTTCCAAGGCTTCGGGCTTGCACCCTCAGAAGCCACAGCCTGAGATGTACATTGGCCCTTATAGTCATAGCAAGAGAGGCTGGAAAGCAGGTCACCAAGTCCTGCATAAAGCAGGGGTGTCCTGTGCCTGGTCCACAAAACCATTTTTTCCTTCTAGGCCTCTGGATCTGTGATGGGATGGGCTGCCACAAAGGTCTTTGACGTCCTCTGGAGACATTTTCCCCATTGTCTTGGCAACTGTTTGGCTCCTTGTTACTTAGGCAAATATCCTTAGCTGGCTTGAATTTCTCCTCAGAAAATTTGTTTTTTTTCTTTTCTATCACACTGTCAGGCTGCAAATTTCCCGATATTATATGCTGTTTCCCTTTTAAAATGAAATGCCTTTGATGTCACCCAAGTCACCTTTTGAATGCTTTGCTGCTTAGACATTTGTTCTGCCAGACACCCTAGATCATATATTTCAAGTTCAAAGTTCCACAAGTTTTTAGTGCAGAAGTAAAATGTCACCAGTCTCTTTGCTAAAACATAGCAAGAGTAATCTTTACTCCAGTTCCCAACAAGTGCCTCATCTCCATCTGAGACCACCACAGCTTGGATTTCATTGTCCATATCATTATCAGCATTTTGGTCAAAGCCATTCACAACAAGTCTCTAGGCAGTTCCAAACTTTATCACATTTTTCTGTCTTCTTCTGACACTCCTAACTTTCCCAACCTGTGCCTGTTACCCAGTTCCAAAGTTGCTTCCACATTTTCAGGTATTTTTTGAGCATCGCCCACTATTCAGGTTCCAATTTACTATATTCATCTATTCTCACATCGCTAATAAAGACATACCCAAGACCAGGTAATTTATCAAGGAAAAGATGTTTAATGGATTCACAGTTTCACATGGCTGGGGAGGTCTTACAATCATGGAGGAACACAAGGAGGAGTAAAGTCAAGTCTTACATGAATGGTGGCAGTTGAGAGAGCGTGTGCAGGGGAACTCCTCTTTATAAAACCATCAGATCTCATGAGACTTATTCACTATCATGAGAACAGCATGGGAAGACCCAGCCCCATGATTCAATTACCTTACACTGTGTCCCTCCCATGACATGTGGTGTATCAGTCCGTTTTCATGCTGCTGATAAAGACATACCCAGGACCTGGGCAATTTACAAAATAATGAGGTTTAATTGACCTACAGTTCCACATGGCTGGGGAAACCTCACAATCATGGCAGAAGGCAAGGAGGAGCAAGTCATACCTTACATGGATGGCAAAAGGCAAAGAGATGGCTTGGGCAGAGAAACTCCTGTTTTAAAACCATTATAACTTGCAATAACCATTCACTAACACCAGAACAGCATGAGAAAGACCCACCCCCATGATTCAATCATCTTCCGCTGGGTACCTCACTCAGGTGGGAATTATGGGAGCTACAATATGAGATTTGAATGGAAACAAAGAGCCAAGCCATATCATTCAACCCCTGGCCCCTCCCAAATCTCATATCTTCACATCTCAAGAGCAATCATGCCTTCTCAACAGTCCCCCAAATTCTCAACTAATTTCAGTATTAACTCAAAAGTCCACAGTCCAAAGACTCATCTAAAACAAGGAAAATCCCTTCTGCCTATGAGCCTGTGAAATCAAAAGCAAATTAGTTACTTTCTAGATACAATGGGGGTATAGGCATTGGGTAGACAGCCATTCCAAATGAGAGAAATTGGCCCAAACAAAGGGGATACAGGCCTCATGCAAGTCTGATCTTAAAGCTCCAAAATGATCTCCTTTGACTCCATGTCTAACATCCATGTCACACTGATGCAACAGGTAGGTTCTCCTAGTCTTGGGCAGCTCTGTCTCTATGGCTTTGCATGGTACAATCTCCCTCCCGGCTGTTTTCATAGGCTTGCCTTGAGTGTCTGGAGATTTTCCAGGTGCATAGTGCAAGCTGTTGGTGGATCTACCATTCTGGGGTCTGGAGGACAGTGGCCCTCTTCTCACAGCTTCATTTGATAGTGCCCTAGTGGGAACTCTTTATGGGGGCTCCAACCCTACATTTCCCTTCCACACTGCCCTAGCAGGGGTTCTTCATGAGAGCCCCGCCCCTGCAGCAAACTTTTGCCTCGGCATCCAGGAGTATCCATACATCTTCTGAAATATAGGCCAAGGTTCTCAAACCTAAATTCTTGACTTCTGTGCACCAACAGGCTCAACACCATGTGGAAGCTGCCAAGGCTTGAACCTTGCACCCTGTGAAGCAACAGCCCATGCTGTACCTTGGCCCCTTTTAGTCACAGCTGGAATGACTGGGATGCAGGGCACCAAGTCCCTAGACAGCATACAGCAGATGGACCCTGGACCTGGCTCACAAAACCATTTTTTTTTCTCCCAAACCTCCATGCCTGTGATGGAAGTGGTTGCCATGAAGACCTCTGATATGCCCTGGAGAAATTTACCCCATTGTCTTGTGAATTAATATTCAGCTCCTCCTTACTTATGCAAATTTATGCACCCAGCTTGAATTTCTCCTTAGAAAATGGGTTTTTCTTTTCTATCACATTGTCACGCTGCAAATTTTTCAAACTTTTATGCTCTGTTTTCTTTACCAAACTGAGTGCCTTTAATAGCACCCAAGTCACCTCTTGAATGCTTTGCTGCTTAGAAATTTCTTCCACCAGATAATCTAAATCCTAAATCATCTCTCTCAAGTTCGAAGTTCCACAAATCTCTGGGGCATGGGCAAAATGCCACCAGTCTCTTTGCTAATACATAACAAGAGTCACCTTTGCTGCAGTTTCCAACAAGTGCCTCATTTCTATCTGAGAGAACCTCAGCCTGGACTTCATTGTCCATATCACTATCAGCATTTTGGTCAAAGCCATTCAACAAGTCTCAAAGAAATTCCAAAATTTTCCACATTTTCTTGTCTTCTTCTGAGTCCTCCAAACTGTTCCAACCTCTGCCTGTTACCCAGTTCCAAATTTGCTTCCACATTTTTGGGTATATTTTCAGCAGCACCCCACTATACTGGTACCAATTTACCACATTAGTCCATTTTCACACTGCTGATAAAGACATACTCAAGACTGGGCAATTTACAAAAGAAAGAGGTTTAATGGACTTACAGTTCCATATGGCTGGGGAGGCCTCACAATCATGGCAGAAGGCAAGGAGGAGCAAGTCACATCTAATGTGGATGGCAGCAGGCAAAGACAGGGCTTGTGCAGAGAAACTCCCGTTTTTAAAACCATCAGATATGGTGAGACCCATTCACTATCATGTGAGCAGCATGGGAAAGACTCACCCCCATGATTTAATCATCTACCACCAAGTCCCTCCCACAACAGGTGGGAATTATGGGAGCTACAAGATGAGATTTGGGTGGGGACACAGAGCCTAACCACATCACATGGAAATTGTGGGAGCTACAATTCAAGATGAGATTTGGGTATAGACACAGCCAAACCATATCACCAAGTATTGGCAATAATTTGAAATAATTGAAAATCTCTTTCATTGCTGGTGGGAATGTAAAATGTTACTGCCAATGTAGTACTTTTCTTATAAGTCCAACATGATACTTACTACATAGAACCAGAACACTACTATAAGAAAAATTTGAAAGTATGTCATGTTCACATAGAGATTTCTCCATGAGTATTCGTAGCAGCTTTATTCATAATTGGCATAAATCAAAAACAACCCAGATGTCTATCAACTAGTAAATGGATGAAGCATCACAAATCCCTGCATCAGTAATCAATACTTTTTAGTATTAAAAAGTATTACATGAAGTGGAACAACCATGCAAAAACACTAACTTTTAACTAGACTCTATAGAAGTAAAAAGACAATGGAAACACATCTTTCAAGGAGACATGTTTAAAATATATAGAGCATCTATAACTCAATAATAAGATAAACAAGCAAGTCTTAAAAGTGAGAAAAGATTTAAAAAGTCATTTCACAAAAGAAGATAGGCAAATATTCTGTAAATACATGAAAAGACACTTACCATCACTAATAATCAGGGAAAGTCAGATTAACACACATGATGGAACAAAGGATACTACTTTACATTAGTGAGAATTGCTAAAATTAAAAGACCAAAAATTTAAAGGATTGCCAGAGATGTGAAAAAACTAGAAAATTCACACAATGTTTGTGAAAATACACAAAGATATAATGATTCTAGAAAATAGTCTAGCAGATTTTTTAAATAAATTAAACCATACACTTATTAAATGATAAGTGATTTCAAGTCTAGGTATTTATAAAAGCTTGTCCACCTAAAAACTCATAAGAATGTATAGTACCATTTTTATGGGACCTGACAACTAAAAACAGTTCAAATGTCCAGCAATGTGTGAAAAAAATTAAAAAATTCAAATCAAAGAATAGAATACTAATAAGCAATAACAGGAAAATACTACCCAATTGTTATGGTTTGGATGTGTCCGCACCAAAACCTGAACTTCAGTTGTATCTCCCAGAATTCCCACGTGTTGTGGGAGGGACCCAGGGGAAGGTAGTTGAATCAAGGAAGCCAGTCTTTCCTGTGCTGTTATTGTGATAGTGAATGAGTCTCACGAGATCTGACAGGTTTATCAGGGTTTTCCACTTTTGCTTCTTCCTCATTTTCTCTTGCTGCTGCCATATAAGAAGTGCCTTTTACCTCATGCCATGATTCTGAGGCCTCCTCAGCCATGTGGAACTGCAAGTCCAATTAAAACTCTTTTTCTTCCCAGTCTCAGGTATGTCTTTATCAGCAGCATGAAAACAGGCTAATACAGTAAATTGGTACTAGTAGAGTGGGGCATTGCTGAGAAGATACCAGAAAATGTGGAAGTGGATTTGGAACTGGGAAACAGGCTGAAGTTGGAACAGTTTAGAGAGCTCAGAAGAAGACAGGAAAATGTGGGAAAGTTTGGAACCTCCTAAAGACTTGTTGAATGTTGAATCAGCATTTCTATCAAAATGCTGATAGAAATATGGACAATAAGGTCCAGACTGTGGTGGTCTCAGATTAAGGTGGGGAAGTTGTTGGGAACTGGAGTAAAGGTGACTCTTGTTGTGTTTTAGCAAAGAGACTGGTGATATTTTGCACCTGCCCTCATGATTTGTAGAACTTTGAACTTGAGAAAGATAATTTAGGATATTTTGTGGAAGAAATTTCTAAGCAGCAATGCATTCAAGAGGTGACCTGGGTGCCGTTAAAGGCATTCAGTTTTATAAGAAAAGCAGAGCATAAAAGTTTGGAAAATTTGTAGCCTGACTATTCAATAGAAAAGAAAAACACATTTTCTGAGGATAAATTCAAGCCTGTTTCAGAAATTTGCATAAGTAGTAAGGACCCTAATGTTAATCCCCAAGACCATGGGTAAAATGCCTCCAGGTCATGTCAGAGACCTTCACAGCAGCCCCTCCCATCAAAGGCCTGAGGGCCCAGGAGGAAAAAGTGGTTTCGTGGGCCAGGCTCAGGGTCCCCATGCTGTGTGCAGCCTGGGGACTTGATGCCCTGCATCCCAGCTGCTCCAGCCATAGTCGAAAAGGGCCAATGTACAGTTCAGGGTGTGGCTTCAGAGGGTGGAAGCCCCAAGCCTTTGCAGCTTCCATGTGGTGCTGAGCCTCAGGTGCACAGAAGTCAAGAATTTAGGTTTGGTAACCTTGGCCTAGATTTCAGACGATGTATAGAAATACCTGGATGCCCAAGAAAAAGTTTGCTGCAGGGGTGAGGTCCTCATGGAGAAACGCTGCTAGGGCAGTGTGGAAGGGAAATGGGGGGTTGGAGCCCCTACACAGAGTCCCTACTGGGGCCCTGCCTAGTGGAGCTGTGAGAAGAGGGTCACCATCCTCCAGACCCCAGAATGGTAGATCCACCAACAGCATGCACTGTGCACTTGGAAAAGCCACAGACACTCAAGGCCAGAGGGAGGCTATACTCTGCAAAGCCACAGAGGCAGACCTACCCCAGACTGTGGGAACCCACCTCTTGCATCACCGTGACCTGGATTTGAGACCTGGAGTCAAAGGAGATCATTTTGGAGCTTTAAAATTTGACCACCCCATTGGATTTCAGACTTGCATGGGCCCTATAGCCCCTTTGTTTTGGCGAATTTCTCCTATTTGGAATGGCTGTATTTACCCAATACCTGTAATCTCATTGTATCTAGGAAGTAACTAGCTTGCTTTTGATTTTACAGGCTCACAGGCAGAAGAGACTTGCCTTGTCTCAGATGAGACTTTGGACCATGAACTTTTGAGTTAATGCTGAAATGAGTTAAGACTTTGGGGGACTGTTGGGACAGCATAATTGGTTTTGACATGTGAGGACATGTGATTTGGAGGGATCAGGGGTGGAACGATGTGGTTTGGCTCTTTCCCCACCCCATTCTCAACTCGAATTGTATCTCCAAGAATTCCCACATGTTGTGGGAGGGAACCAGCAGGAGGTAATTGAATCATGGGGACTGGTCTTTCCTGTACTGTTCTCATCATAGTGAATGAGTCTCACAAGATCTGATGGGTATATCAGGGGTTTCCACTTTTACTTCTTCCTTTTTCTCTCTTGCTCCCACCATGTGAGAAGTGTCTTTTGCCTCCCACCATGATTCTGAGGCCTCCCCAGCGATGTGGAACTGTAAGTCTAATTAAACCTCTTTTTCTTCCCAGTCTCAGGTGTATCTTTATTAGCAGCATAAAAACAGACTAATATACCTATTATGAATCAACGTGAAAAAAATCTCAAAAACATGCTTATCAAAAAAACAGATATAGTTCATTCATCTTGAATCTTACAATAGGAAACTCTAATCAATAGTAATATTGAACAGGTCATACAGAGAATAAGACCAGAGAAGGGGTGGGGATGACTTTAGGGGCCCTTTGAGGGCACGAAGAACTTCAATATATCATCAAGTTGGGTCTGCTGTACTTTCCATTGATTTGTCTGTTTATTCTCTCATTGTATTTATAAATCGCAATTCAAAATTATAAAAGCACTGTCTATCAAATTTATAACTACTGGAAATTCATTCAAAGTTTTATATTTGATTTACTGTAAGTCCTCAATTTTGAGGGCATTTTGAATTTCTATTGTTTTTTATGCTTAACACATTAATTTATGTATAGTTGTGAGGTACTGCATTAGCAACTACTGGCCAGATGCTGTTTTATATTATTGAGCTTTGTGCTAATGAACAAAGTTTTCTATCACTTTGCAACATACTGTTAATTACAGGAAAGTAACACATATTCTCATTATGTATACTAAAGTTAATTCTAAAATAGCAACAAAACTTAAGTGGACCCTTCAAAATTACTCACATATAACTTAAACAAAGTGCATGTATATAAAATTGAATCACCTAATTTTGTGTGTTCCCTCTCCTTCTTTCTCTTTCTCTTCACTTCCTCCTTACCATCTACTCTATATTGGATGCCATTGTGAATTGTGACTTTTTTCTTATATTTGATTTTATTTCTCTTTTTGAACCTTTATAAAAAAATCTGTTTACTTCTCCAGAGTGTTGCCAACAAAGTATAGGAGTTTTGTGTTCTTGCTTGTATTATAATTATATACATATCAGTTGACAGCTATGTCCTTCTTCCTATGTCAAATATGGTATTAATATCGCCAAGATATTAAAAAAGGAGATAAAGATGAGTCTTAGAATTAAATAGAAAATGTTTGTTTTAAAGAATGAATGAAGAGCCAGTTCCCCCAATGAAATAAGAGAACAATATTCTGTTTATATTCTACGTATACCTATTTTTACTTTGCTTAACATGTGGGATATTCTTACTGTTTACTGTATGTTTATCTCAGTTGCTAATTTATTTGCAATTAAGTTAAATTGCAATACTCCAGTTATGAAGTGACAAAATATCTTTTCTTGTTGTTTGAGTTAGCTCAGTGAGTTATACAATAACATACAAAAAAGTCAAAATCATGCATTCAATTGATAATCAGACCATGCTCTTTTAACTACCACAGCCTCCAACTCACCCTGACCAATATTTCACTCAGGCAGGTAAACTCTAAGTCAGAAGTAAGGCGGCAAGTTTTACTTTGTTATGTAAGGACTGCAACTTTGAAAAATATATTCAAGTTACATGCAGGTAAACTCTAAGCCAGAAGTAAGGAGACAAGTTTTACTTTGTTATGTAAGAACTAGAACTTTGAAAAATATATTCCAGTTACAGAGAATGTGACACAGTGACATCTTAATAAAATAAGACAGCAATTTTGCTCTTTGCCTGTCATTAATATTGGAAGCACGTCTCGTTAAAACTTTTCCATAGACATCATATAATGTCATGAAATTAAAATAGCTATAAACAAACATTAAGTAAAATTAAAATAGTTGTTTCATCCCCTTGACAATTTCTATCTTTTGTATTACAGGATATGAATATATCCACTTATTGTTCTTTCTTTCTAATTTAATGTATTAATATATTTTTCACTGTAAGGTACTAGAATTTTATAATAGCTTAGAAAAATGTGGTGGTGCTTGATAATTGAAAATATGTTGGCATTGTTAAAGCTAATTGCCCAAAGATTTAAAAGTAAAGACACATTTAAAGGCACAATCATTATGGTAATTGCTGCAATGAATGTTGTGAACTTTTCAGTATATTTTTAAGCAATGCCCTGGAGAGGTGTCATTTCCAACACATTATTTTTGATATGGCATCTCTTAGACATTTGCTAGTGAATACTAAATTTACTATTGAGGATATATTTCAATAATTTACTATTTATTAAATCATCCATAATCAATGAAAAATTACCATTCCAACACCATCAATATAAATTTCAATCTAGTGAAAAAGTACAGGAAGTTAGATTTTAGCATCTGTGGCAGTAAAAAAGCTCAAAATAAAATCGAAGAATTTTACTTGGCTGAAAAGCAATTGTGAAGGAAAAAGATAGGCTTGAGTGCATAAGATTATTAAAAGTACAATACCACAGCCACCTTTTGTTTAAGTATACACAAATGGCAGAGCTTGCACAGTTTTAAAATTGAAGAACCTTCATTTAGGATACATTACCTTTTTAAAAAAACTTTTCAGTTCCACACTCTGTGAAAGACACATTCTAGCAAATACACTCACTCAATCTAAAAAAACTCTATACTCTTTCAATTACTGAAATTCAATGTGCATTTAACATCTCTAAATGTAGCTGATATTTAAAAAACTCTCACAAGGGGTTGGAAAATCTCATGTGAGATTACAGGGAGCTCCATTTGGAAGATCTGCTTTGACTATTAGATGTTCAATTGGAATTGATCAAAATGGCCTTAAATTTCCTCTTCAGCTTGAGTAAACTTGTCTTTTTCTTGATTATAGGCTCCTGACCTTCCTTTATTTATAGCATTTACTTCAGGAAACTTGCAAGTGTAAGTTTTTTCTCTGCCTCTTTGAGATGTAAATCTTTCTTTAAAAGCTTCTTGCCAGTTTTACAACCCAGAAATATCTTTCTCACAGACCTGAGAACCACTCTTTGAAATGTACTCATGAAAGAAGATAGTACGTATCCCCCAATTTTTATGGGAGAAGAAGAGCATAACTTCCGTAGAAGTCTTGCTAAAAGTTGTAAAACTACCTTCTGTCATAAAGTTATGAGAAGTTTACTTTGCTTTGTATGAAGCCAATTAGTATACACAGATGGCCAATGTTGTATCATATCCTATAATAAATTTCTTCTAGCTCCTTCCAACCTTTGAAAACCCTATAGCCTTCTACTTCAGCGGAGTTGAGATCAGACTTAGTTCTCATCTCCCTCCCCTATTGAAATAGCCTTGAGTGAAAAATTCCTTGACTATTCAACTTTGACATGATTTTTTGCTTTGATTGAATCAATGATCAAATTATTTTAGTAATTTATGAAAAGACCTTTAACTTGACTTATTTTGTTGCACAATGGAAAAACAAAAGAAAACAAATAAAAATATAGATCTTGAATAAGATAACCTGGATTTGAGCTCAGTTTTCTCTATTTTCAAATTATCAAAGAATATAGTTCATATCTTCCCTGTTATTGAGAGACAGGACTAGTTGGATTTCCTAGGCCGACTAAGAATCCCTAAGCCTAGCCGGGAAGTTGACAGCATCCACCTTTAAGCAGGGGGCTTGCAACTTACCTCATACCCGACCAATCAGGTAGGAAAGAGAGCTCACTACAATGCTAATTAGGCAAAAACAGGAGGTAAAGAAATAGCCAATCATCTATTGCCTGAGAGCACAGCGTGAGGGCCAATGATCAGGATATAAACCCAGGCATTCCAGCAGGCAACGCTACCCTCTTTGGATCCCCTCCCTTTGTATGTATGGGAGCTCTGTTTTCACTCTATTAAATCTTGCAACTGCAGTCCATTCTGGTCCGTGTTTGTTATGGCTCCAGCTGAGCTTTCACTGCCATCCACCACTGCTGTTTGCCGCCATCGGAGACCCGCCACTGCCTTCCATCCCTCCAGATCCGGCAGGGTGTCTGCTGTGCTCCCGATCCAGCAAGGCGCCCATTGCTGCTCCTGATCTGGCTAAAGGCTCGCCATTGTTCCTGCACAGCTAAGTGCCCGGGTTTGCCCTAATTGAGCTGAACACTAGTCACTGGGTTCCATGGTTCTCTTCTGTGACCCACGGCTTCTAATAGAGCTATAACACTCACCGCATGGCCCAAGATTCCATTCTTTGGAATCCGTGAGGCCAAGAACCCCAGGTCAGAGAACACAAGGCTTGCGACCATCTTTGAAGCAGCCCGCTGCCATTTTGGAAGTGGCCTGCCACCATCTTGGGAGCTCTGGGAGCAAGGACCCACCCCCCACCCCCCATAAGATTATCACCAAGTAAATATTAACAACATATTAAATTAAAGAACAGGAACACATATATTGATAGCACCTTATGTTTATTTGTCATCACTGAACTTATTTTTGTTTTCTATATAATGTATAGATTTAGAATTTGCACAACATATGAAAGATTAGACAGAAATATGAATAAATTCTGTCTGGTTATTACCATTCAATATTTTATAAGTTGCTATCTCTAAAAAGAATACACTGAGATGTTCTTTTAATGTGGCTTTGTTGTAGTTCTGGCAATTAACATATCAAACATTAATTCATTTAAATGAAAGAAAACATATCATTATTCTAATATGGCTAAGCAGAGCCAAGCTGTTGTGAGATTTGCATAGACATATCATCAAATGGCAATATCTGATCAGTGACAACACACCTTCCAGTCTACATATTTTTCCTAGTTGTGTGATATACCTTTGATATAATATCAGTGTTACAAAAATTATAATTCCACTCACTAATTTGTAGTTGCTTTATAAAAGCACTCTCTGAGTTGAATTATTTCATCCAGAGCTCCTGACACACAACTTGATTTTAGCTAGAAAAGCCAGTCAAATAATATTTCAGAAGCTATCAACAAAAAAAGTCAACAGATTACCCTACATAATAATAAAGATCTTTTATATTAAAAATGTCATAAATACAGTTAATAGACAAGCAATATTTTAGGGAAAAAATGTACAACATATATAAAGGGCAACAGTTTAGTATATAATAACCTCCTAAAATAAATAGAGTAAATTAATCAGTAGAATAATGGACAAAAGAAAGGTACAAATACTTGATTTAAAAAACTATGAAACAAACTACAGTTTGCCAACAAACAGAAAAAGATGTTCAAGAAAACCAGCAATTTTTTTGTGACAATCAATTCAAACCAAAAAAATTAAAACTATACACCTATTAGATTATTTTTAAAAATTATTCTTAATATTCAGTTAACATTGATATTAGAGTGATATTTTATCTAAGTTGATTTTTACAGAAATATTTAACCTATTTATGTGGGTGTGTGAATGTTCACTGAAACACTGTTTATAATGGCTACATTTTACTCATAATATAAATATCCACTGATTAGGGAATGGTTAAACCATGTGTGATGCATTCATTTGTAAAAATTACAAAATCATTAAGTCTTTCCAAAAGCTAAGAGTTCTAAAATAATGTTCTAGGAGGACAGAGTTTAAAAAAGCAAAAACAAAAAGTGATTTGAAAATTATGCATAAGTATTAATATATTTCATCCCACATGTTACAAAAAATTATATATGTTTGTGTCTATGTATGTACACATACAAATGCATAGACATACTCATATCAAATTTTTTATTATTGTTACCAATTGGTATAAGATTAGATAATTAAAGTAGGGCTTTTCCTTGCATCATGTATACTTGTTTAGTTTTCGACTATTTGCTTTTTTACAATGAAAATACATTGATCTGCTGCTAGTTTGCTTAAATTGTTTTCGTTTTAAAATGGTAAAATATAAAATAGCTAACATCAAAGCTATTCCAAAATTTAATTATTTTAGAACAAGAATTTTACCTGGAATGATAAATTTCCAGAAGTTATATTTTTAAAATTTTAATGATGAGAAAATGCTAAAAGTATTTAATTACAGGTATTAGATGTGTCATTTCTTTGTAAAAGTATATAATGTCCTTACAATTTTCAAGCTATAAATATGTAAATTTAAAAAAATTATCTTGATTACACTGCTGGAAATAGTCAAAGATTTATTGGGGCTTACTATGAATTCCAATCAGTGATAGTTAACTGGAGCCCCATGGTGATCACTTAGTCAATATCAGATAAGCTATGAGGACATTTCTGATTATCACATTCTTATCAGATTAAATTTATTTCCAGCAATAACTACTCAGTGGGTTCCACTTGGAACTCTTATTACTGCTTCTGCGGGATATAACATTTAAGAGGGTAGAGTATTGATGACATTGAACAAACACATAAAACTTCATTTGACTTTAGGTTGATCTTCACTACCTTGCAGAAACAGTGCCTTACTTAGTTTTTCATTCATGTAGCCTATTTCTGCTGATGTTTATTCTTTGTTTTCAACTGATAACTATATTTAAATCACATATCTTTCTTTTTTATTTTGTTTTTGTTTTGTAAGTAGTTGTCTCATTTGCTATTGGAATTCTGGAGTTAACATTGTCAAAGGACTTTAGTTTAAGCCTTCGTATGTTCATTCATATTCAAGCTGAGAGAAAGCACCTATACTGAATTAGTAAGCCGTGCTTTTATGAACCAGATGCTGATCCCAAAAAGTCCTCAATAAATAGAACCCTTTCTGTTTCTAGGTTTCTGAACAGACTGAACAAGAATATCTAACACTTCTACAGTTATTCAGTTCTTATACATACCAGGTAATGTTCTGAGTTACACTCTTATTCATTCCTCACAAGTATCTGAGTTAAATGGAATTTTATTCCCACTTTACAGATTAAGAAGTGAGGAACAAATAAATGCAATAGAAGATGATATTCCTAATATGTAATAGGGCTCTGATTTGAATGCACACTATTAGGCTTCAAATATACATATATATACACACATATATGTATACATATATACATATATATATATATATATTTTTTTTTTTTTTTTTTTTTTCTGATGGGCACCGTGGCTCTTGCCTGTAATCCCAGCACTTTGGTGGGCCAAGGTGGGTGGATCATGAGGTCAGGAATTCAAGACCAGCCTGGCCAAGATGGTGAAACCCCATCTCTACTAAAAATACAAAAAGTAGTCAGGCATGGTGGCAGGTGCCTGTAATCTCAGGTACTCAGGAGGCTGAGACAGAGAATTGCTTAAACATGGGAGACAGAGGTTGCAGTGAGCTAAGATCAGGCCACTGCACTCCAGCCTGAGTGACAGAGTGAGACTCCCATCTCAAAAACAAAAACAAAGATTTTTTTTCTTTTTTCTTTTCCTTTTTTTTTTCTTTTTTGCAGGGGAATGGGGAGCAGGGTTGTTTTGTTCTGCCTTTAAATGCACTGAAGATGAAAATAAAATTAATTTGTAAGTGAAGAAAATTGTCACAGAATGCAGTCTGACTCAGAAGCCAAGCTTTCAACCACTGTTCCGTACTATGTCTTTTTTGTGCGTGTCTATGCTTATGTTTATATCTACATATCACTCCATATTTATATAGGATATATATGGATATATATGCTTAATTTGCATACCATACCTAACACATAGTTATTTTAGTTCATGAAATATATCTACTTCATAAATTACATTTTTCCAAAAGCTAACTCATCAAGTCAGAATGGAGACTAACAAGTGGAGCACATCTTGTTCCTGTGTAGGTTCTATATACAGGATTAGTTTCTTTGCTGTGAATCATAGACAATTTACTATGGCCATCTGGGCTTGAAAACCAAGAGGGGTTCCTGGCTCCCCAAACAGAAAATCTTTATGAAATGTTGTAGTCATCTATGTAGTACAACTTTGAGAAATAAAGTGAGAGGTTTGCCTCTAACAACCTCTGGAATTGAACCCAGCAGTCTTCTCTCTTATCACTCATTGTTAATGCATGGCACTTGGTCATCAGTGGGTTGAGATTTGTGGTTAAAAGAGAGGCCATGTGGACACTGGACAAAGATCTTCAACTTCACTAAGTCTACATTTTCTCCTACCTAAATTAATATAGGAACAAATCACTCTGCTATTTATCATAAGTCTCTGGCACATAGTAAGTCCCTGGTAACATCAAAAAATTCCACAAAATAAAAATTATATTATAAAATCATTACCAAAAAGAGTAGATATTTTTTAAAGGAAGAAGAAAGTGCAAACAGGGTAGATTAAGGGCAGCAAAGGAGCATAATCTCAGTGTAAAGAAGAGGAAATTAGTCCCCTAGGGGATACAAAATCAAAGAGCAAGAACCCAGGAGTAGAAGACAGACAAAAGTCTCAGTTGATCTTATACTTACAGTAAAAAGAATCTGGTAAGAAATGCTGAAATTTGAAGAACTCCTCAGATCATAAATTCAGCAAGTTTTGGAATGACTCAGGGGAATTTGAATGACAGTTCTCCAGAACTATAAAAAAAATTCTAAAAACATATTTCCCATTCTCTTATATAATAATATTTACATTGAAATCTGGGAGTTTATTCTCAGAAAAGAACAGCTTTATCCTTGAAAACAGATCATTGTATGCTCTTATAAAGAACTCTGTTACAACTGTAAAAAAAGAACAGTCACGATATAGACATGACATTGTTATCTAAAATTTCCTCTTGTTTCAGTGCAATAAATAGAAGTAGAGTGATGTCCACTCAAGGTTAAGTGTGAGTATTAACAAGAAGTTTAAAGCCTTCTCTTTTATAAGTTGAAAGCAATCAAATAATTACATCTCTTAAAAGACATTAGGAAATAACTGATTTTTTAAAAGCTAAAGATTAGAAACATATATGCAGAAGTTCTTATGAATTTGTAAGCAGTGAATTACTAATAAGTATGCTAAAGTTTATACTGACCCATATGCAGAAGAAGACTTATATATAAATACTTGCTGTTGGATTGTTTTCAGTAGCGACATTGGAAACAACCTAAAATCAATAGACTTGCTGAATACATTAAGACAATCCCATGCAATACGTTGTTATTTACTAATTAGTAGGACTAAAGTAGATTTATGTGTGCAGGTATGGAAAAAACAATCTAAGGTAAAATAAGTAAAGAGAGGAAATGGCAGATAAATGTGTGGCTATGTATGTATGCATATTTATGTCTCGAAGTATATATAACAGTTGTGTGTGTATATATAATGTGTGTATATATATAAAACAGTTGTATGTAGTTGTATGTATATATAGATGTTGTTGCGGGAATCAGAGAAACGTAGAGACCAATGGGTGAAACAGGAATATTTTATTAAGTGGTCACTGGCCCAGCAGATTAACATCCAAAGGCTGAGCCCTGAACAAAGATACACTTGACTTTTATACACACTTCTGAAAGGGGGTTGGCTGGTTTGAATGGCGCGGTGGGAACTTAATGGTGCAAAACTCGTGGGGCAGGCAAGCAAGCTTACAGAAGCAGAACAAAGTCAATTAATCAGACTGTGACGGGTTTCGTAACCCAAGCATAGCTTGTGACCTTGCAGCTGCATTGAAGGAAAAACAGGAATTTACAAAACTTGGGAAATTGAGAAACAGTAGAGGGATGAGGAGATAGTAAAGGAATTTGTTTTTCTTGTCCTTGCTCTGATGGCGTGTTAGGAAAGTCTCTGGGACTCATTCCTGTGGACTCTGTCTTCCTGGATAGCGTTATCATGTCTCGGCCAGGGCCCTGCCTATTGCTGGCCTTGGAGTGATTCAGCCAAGTACAGGAAAAACTTGTTTTTCTCTTTTAACTTCTGCTTCATTCCCCGCTTTGATGCTTTTTACAAATGAGGTTTAATAGAAAGCATCACTATTAATTAATTCTTCATGTAATGGTAGATTTTCTTCATTTGGCAAAGGTTGATATTTAGTTAGAGCCATTAGTTGAGTGGTAGTTTGCCTGGTTACACAAGCCTCTGTGGTCGATTGAATGTGTTTAACAAGGAGGGGTAAGAGGCAAGGGAGTATTAAGCAACTTCCTAGTATGGCCAGAACTATTCTTATTAGAGTTTTAAATCCTCCAAGGGATGAGAACCAGCCTCAAAAGAGAGAATCAGGAGACCATCCTTTCCAAGTCTGGACTCGAACATGGGCTAATTTTTGGATTTTGGCAGTTATATCTTCGATGACTTCCCATTGTCATAAATTTCTAGGCAGCAATTAGTTAGATTGAACTTCCTGCATACCCCTCCCTTCTGGGCTAGGAGGTAATCTAAGGCCAGTCTATTTTGATAAATAGCATTTCTCATTTTTGTGGCTTGCTGGACGATTAGATTTAAGGTCCTTGCAGTGTCATTAGTAATGATTTCAAGCACTGCCTGTAACTCTATGATGTGGTTGAACATGTAAATAGGGGTGCGGCCATACATTCCATCTTCCCCCCAAGTGGCTGGTCCATAATATTGGATTATTCTTTCAGGGGGCCATTTGTCATCCTTCCAATTCCCTGTGGTTTTACTCCTTTTATCTCTCTTTTTAGTTTCATCGTAGACAGGGTACCCTAAGGCTCCTCCTTGCTTTAGAGGGATTGGAAAGAAGGACAGTCTAATTGTCCTTAGTACACAAACCACTGTCCATTTTGCTGGCAGTTGCTGATATTCGCTTGGCCCATAGATCCAGTAGAGGCCAGAGGGTGCCTGCCAGGTATTTGGAGCTTCAAGTTGGTACCAAGAGTGGTTTAAAGAAGGGAAACAGGAGAAGGGGCTGGGATGAGGTGATGTGGAATTATTTTTGCCCTGCCATGAAGTTTTTCCTAGCATTTCATTGTAATATTGGTGTCCTAGGCAAGTTAATTCTCCTGCTGGGTCTGTAAAGGGTTTTCCCCAGTGAGCAATGCAGAATCTTCTGATAATAGAGGTTTTTAAGAGCCAGACACTCGAGCTCGTGCGCGTTGGTTCAGGAGAGGAGACAGAGTGAAGTTATCTTGGGGCATTAGCTGTCTTGCTTTCCATGGCCATTGATCCCCCATGTTGGTTCTTACGCAAACATAGCATGAGGAGTCCTGTAAACTGCTAGCTGTGTTTTCAGCTAGTTGGGCAAACAGATTTCCGGCCAAAGGAGGGGGCTCAGGAAACTTCTGGTTGATATGCTCATAGAATGACTTGAAAACTCTGAATTGTTGAACAGGTCTGGATTTTCTTCATGATATGTAAAAATAACATTTTTAAAGACAGTTTTTCCCTCTTGATTTTTGGTTAAATAGGAGTATCCTATTGGTGCTTCTATTCCTGTAGTCTGTATCTGTATGTTTGGCTTTAAGATGGTGAAATTTACAAGACTGCAAGCATTTGCTTTACAGTCTGGGTCTGCTGGTATTTGGGTAAACATGACCTGCCTTTATTTAGTAGCCCATGTTGCGCAGTCCCAGGTGGAGCAAGCCGGGGGAGTTCTAACACTTTTACAACAAGTTCCTACAGGAAAGGTTGAGTCTCTGAACGTTGCCTGGCAAATATTTAAGTACAAGGATATGGTTCCTTTGTGGAAAGGGGGGTACCTTGTTTTCGTTTAAAAGGGCTCCCTCTTCTGACCCGTCACAGATTTCGAACCACGTCCCAGGTAAGAATCTAGGGTCATAACACACATAAGGCTGGTTATTTCCTGGGTCACAAATTGAGTAGGTGGTCTGGTTGTGAGTACAATTTCCTAGGTGGGTTCCAATACACTCACAATAAGTATGGTATAATAGAGTTCTGGTTTATAGTGCTTCCTGACCATGTAGTATGAGTGCATACCTCTTAGAGTTCTCCGTTTAACATAGATAAGGGGACCAGCAATAATAAGGTAAAGAGTAGCATACTCATACCCAGCAGGCACAAAAGAGGTGTTTACCCAGAGGAGGGGGTTGAGCAAAGCAACAGGACAATAGTAAAACAACTAGTGTTACAAGGAAAATTACTAGGCTCAATATTTCTAGCCACATTTACTTCCCTGATGATGACTCAAGCTTTGGCCATGCATAGACTAGTCAGCTTCCAGGGTGACTAGAGCAGGGCTGTTGTTGTCTCCACTGGCGACTCAGTCTCAACACAGGATCAACCTGGGGGATGGTTTGGGTCCCAATGGCTGGTCCATTTGTCTCGAGCTTCCGGTTTCAGTCAACTGTGGTAAATCCAAGGCACAATTCCTGCAACTTTAACAGCAGTGGGAGTGGACAAGATTATAGTATGGAGCCCATCCCATATGGGTCCCAAAGTGGTTGGATTCCATTGCTTAACCCAAACAGTCTCCAGGTTTAAATGGGTTCGCTGGTTCTGTTAGGCTTATGGGCATTCTTTCCCGTACTCAGCCATGGATTTCTTGCATGACTATCCCTAAAGCCTGCATTTGTCTCCTTAAGGTCAATTTCCCTAGTTCACAGAGATCACCCTTAATTTGACCTATGATAGGGGGTGGCTGGCTGAACAAGGTCTCTTAGGTAGAATACCCAGTTTGTTTGTTGGGGGTGCATCAGACTCAGAGGAGGACCATGGGCAGGATCTGATCCCATCTTAGATGAGTTTCTTGACAATATTTTTTCAGTAGCTGTTTGAGTGTCCAGTTCATGTGCTTCACCTTTCCTGAGCTCTGCAGCCGGTAGGCTGTGTAATTTTCATTTTATTTTTAACAGCCGTGTTAGTTCTTGAACTATTTCAGCTACAAATGCCAGACCATTGTCTGACCCTAGAGTTAGGGGCAGTCCAAATCTGGGGATAATGTATCTTAACAATACTTTAGTCACTTCTCATGCTCTCTCTGTTCTAGTGGGGAAAGCTTCGACCCATCCCGAGAAGTTGCAGACGAGCACCAGCATGTACTGGTAGCCCCTCATTTGGGGCATCTTGTGAAATCTGCAAGTAGGTTTTCACAGGGTGTGGCCCCCATTTCCTGAATTCCCGGGGGGCCAAGTGGGCCCTTGTCTTGGGTTGTTCTGGGCACAAGTTAGACATTGTTTACAAATGTCTTGGGTGATGGCAGTGAGCCATGGCACATAGTAGCATTTCTAGTGCCATTTTCCCCATATGAGTTCCTTAATGGAATTGTCTTACAAACTTGAAACTCCCATTTCAGGGATAGCTAGTCCCCCATTGGAGAATTTCCACCATTCTCCTTCAATGTACTTTCCAGATTCTCAGGCAAACCAGGCCTTCTCATTTGAAGAATAACTTGAGACCTCTGGGAGGGAGGGATCTGGGAGGAGAGGCATATCTAGGGTTTCTTTCTTAAAATGCAGTGTAGTCATTGTTGCCCATTTGGCCTCCCTGTCTGCCTTTCTGTTTCCCATAGTCTCTAGTTTTCCTGCCTTTTGGTGACTCCTGCAGTGCATAATGGCCACTTTCTCTGGGGCCCATACAGCGTCTAAGAGCTGCAGAATTTCTTCTTTGTGTTTTATTTCTTTGTCCCTAGCAGTTAAGGGTCCTCTTTCTTTATATATAGCCCCAAGAACATGCAACATGGCAAAAGCATATTTGGAGTCTGTATAAACATTGATCTTTTTGTCTTTTGCCAGCAAAAGAGCTCATGTCAGGGCTATTAGCTCTGCCTCTGTAGGCAGAGGCTGAACCTCCACTACTGAGTCCAATGTTACCACCATATACCCAGCTCAGCGGACCCCACCCAGTATAAAACAGCTCCCATCTGTGAAGTATTCAACACCTGGTTCTCTGAGGGTTTGGTCTGTAAGGTCTCCCTGGCTTGAGAACACCTTGTCTACTGTTTCCACACAGTCATGAAGGGGGGCTCCCAACTCTATCAGGAGCAAGGTGGCTGGGTTAAGGGTATTTACCGTTTCCAGAGTTATATAAGGATTTTCACATAGGAGACCCTGTTACTGGGTCATCCTTGGATTTGATAACCAATGATGCCCTCTCTGGTCCATTAATGTTATAACCAAGTGCGGTACCCAGATGGTCAGTTGTTGCCCTACAGTCAGTTCGTCAGCTTCTTGTGCCAATAGGGCAAAGTCAGTTAGTGCCCTGAGGCAAGGAGGCCACCCTAGTGCTATGGTGTCTAGCTGCTTGGATGAGTATGCCACTGGCGATGCCATGATCCCATGACTTGAGTCAGGACCCGTATAGCCATTCCTTTTCATTCACGGATATATAGAAAAAAAAGGCTTAGTTATATCTGGCAGTCCTAAGGCTGGGGACTGAGTTAAGCCTTCCTTGATTTGCTTGAATGTCCTCTCCTGGTCAGCCTCCCAGAGGAGGGGCTCCCTTTCCCCCTGCTTTGTGGCTTCAGGTAAGGGCTTGGCCATTACTGCAAAATTTGGGATCCAGATACAGCAGAACCCTGCTGCTCCCAAGAATTCTTATTTGACACCAGGTGGTTGGAGTTGGAAGCACACAAACAGCCTGCTTTTGTTCAAGGCTGAGCCAGCGTTCTCTTTGGCTTACTATGAAGCCTAAATACTGGACTTTTCTTAGATTTGAGCCTTTTTCCTGAACACCTTATATCCAGCTTTCCACAGAAGGTACAGTAGGTCTTGGGTTCCTTGGAAGCAGTCCTTTTGGGTTGGGACTGCCAGAAGAAGGTCATCTATATATTCCAGCAAGGCACAGTTATAATTTGGCAGGGTGTAGGCCTTGAGGTCTGAAGCCAGTGCTTCTTCAAAGATTGTGAGAGAGTTTTTGAACCCTCGTGGGAGTCTTGTCTAGGTGAACTGTGAATCACCCAGTGAAATGAAAAGATGGGCTAACTGGTGCTAGGTGAAGACAGAAAAATGCATCTTTCAGATCTAAGTAAGTAAACCAGGTAGCACTTGCTGGAATAAATCCCATTAAAGTATATGAGTTTGGTACCACTGGGTAGATGGTTACAGTAGCCTGGTTATAGCGCGTAAGTCCTGCACCGGTCTATATTCACCAGATGGTTTCTGTACCAGCAAGAGTGGAGTGTTCCAGGGTGACTGGCATTTGACTAAGATTCCATGTTTGAAGAGCCATTCTAAGTGTTTGTGAATGTCCCATATGTCTTCTTGGAAAAGTGGGTATTGGTGAAGCGGAACTGGAGTTGCCCCTGGTTTTAACTCTACTACCACTGACGCTTGATTTTCAGGCAGCCCAGGTGGGTTATCTTCAGCCTATACTCCAGGAATCCTATAAAATAGCTCATGCAGTTCATTTATTCCCAGTTCTGGTGACTCTTTTGTGTATAGTCTCCATTCCTCAGTCTGTGGGATGGTAAGAGTTAATACCATGGCCTTTGGGTAAGTCAGTTTTAAAGTCATATCCCCTTGTGGCCCAAAAGCAATCAGCGCTTGCAGTTTTTGGAGTAGGTCTCTTCCCAGCAGGGGGACTGGGCAATTTGGGAGGTTTGGAACTCATGCTGGATTTTTTGTCCTCCTATGACACACCTCCTTGGCTGACAAAATGGCCTCTTCTCTGGGACCCCAGTGGCCCCAACAACAGTCATATGTTTTTTGGATAGTGGCCCTATGGGCCAGGTTACTACCGAGTGTTCAGCCCTGGTGTCTACCATAAAGTCCATTAGTTGGTCCCCTATTTCCACTGTGACCATGGGCTCCTGGGGGCCTAAGGAGATGGAGCCTAGTCTGGCCTAGTCTTCATATTCTTCAGTCTCCACCAGCCCAATAAAGTCAGTGTCTGACTCCCTCAGGGTGCAGCAAGACTTTGACTGGTGGCCTTTTCATTTCACAGCCCTGGCCATTTTCTTCACTGCTCTGTGGACACTAGTTTTTCCAGTGTCCCTTCTTTTTGCCTTGTGCACGTTGATCCCTACCTAGCCTTGAGTGACTTTCAGGTCTCTGTCCAACCTGGCCCTTTCTGCATCGGCATCTGCATCTGCATCCCTTGTGATGCTAGTTTCCCTTTCTGTGAGGGCTGCCACTAGCAGATCAGCCTTTTTCCTGAGCCTCCGCTCAGCCTCCCTTTTAGCCTCCTGGTTGTGGTTAACGTACACCTTGGAGGCCACTTCTAAAAGCTGGGTGGCAATCATACCTGCAAAATCCTCTAGCTTTTGCAGCTTCCACCTGATGTCCCCCTGGGCTTGTCCTACAAATGCCATATTCACCATGCACTGATTTTCAGCGGCCTAAGGCTCAAACGGAGTGTAAGGTTGGAACGCCTCAGAGTCTCTCATAAAACTGGCTAGGGCTCACATAGATTCCCTGAAGCACTTCTGAGATCTTTCCTATATTGATTGACTTTTTTCCACCTTCCCTCAGCCCTTGCAGCAGTGCTTCTCAGTACCTCTGCAGGTGCTGAAACTGGGTTGCATTATTCGGGTCCCAGTGAGGATCTGTTTCTGGGAACTGACCTTGAGCATATGTCTGGACATTAAATGTGCCTTCTGGTGCATTGGTTTCTAGCCAGTGGAGGTAACCCACTGGTTTCTGCCTGGGTAACCCTTTGGTGCTCCTCAGTATTAAACAGTGTCAGGAGGAGCTGCTTGCAACCTGGCCAAGTTGGATTGTGTGTCAGGAAGATGGACTGCATTAGATCTATGAGGGCCTGGGGCTTCTCCATGTAGGAGGGAATATAATGTTTCCAGTTTAGGAGATCAGTGGTCAGAAAAGGCTGGTAGAAGAAGGTCCATTGCCCCCCTTGGACTTGACCCTGTTCATCATAATACATGGGTCCCTGCACCTCCCTGAGAGGCATTTGCATAGCCTGGGCATGACCAGTTTAGAGGCAGCCCGCTTGATCATCTTGACTTTCCCTCTTAACCTCTTGGGGCTCCAATCTTTCCTTTTGGGGTGGGACTCAGGGCATGTCACCATCTGAATCTGACTCCTTGGGGGCCATTGGCCTCAGTAAAGGGGGGTAGATTGAGATATATGGAGGAAGAATTTCTATCTCTTCTGGCAGTTCCTGCAAAAGTGGTTTTTCCTGTGGCTTTCCCTTTGTTTTGGTGGCTGACAGCGAAGCTGATTTTTCTTTCACTGTAGGCTCAGCTCAGGACATGAGTGTTTTGCAATAAGCTGCTAAGCAGGGCTACAGCCACACAGGCTGAGTTTGGACTATATTTAGCCATGAGTCAATATAAGGAAATTGGTCTGGGTGCTCTGGCTGTACCCCGACCCAAGTCACCACCTTAAATACATGATCAATTGTTTCCCTATCTATTGTTCCTTTGGCCGGCCATTCAATACGAAAAGAGGGCCATTCTATTTCACAGAGAGTTCTCAACCTCTGGGGGATCAACTTGATCCCATAATCCCGCCTTTAACCTTTCATAAAGTTCTTTAACATACATTCTAATGGGATGGGTTTTGATGACTTCCCTCCCATGTCCTCCCTGTTACAGCACAACACATTCACTCTCACTTTTGCTTCAGACCAATTAGTCCACCTCCTCCGCGGGAGTTTTCAGACACCACTTAGCTTTAATGGAGGGTTTGCATGAGCCCCAAACCCGGGCCACCACGATCACTAAATTGTGAGGTGCCTCCCTAAGCCATATGCAGTAGCCCTGGAAGGCATTCGCCATTAGTCCCGGTTGATCCCACACTTCGCTCGGAGTGTATGGTATACGCTAAGAGGCCTGTGGCCCCCACACTTCACTCCCTGCTTTGGTTCCTTCTGGAACTGCCTCTTTCACATGCATTCACACACTTCTCCACTCCCAGTTCCCCTTTCTAGGCTGGGGTGTCAGTTTCATAGAGCAATAAATGGTTAAAAATAAAGTGGTTAAGATTTGTTCAAGCACCTAATTCACAAAAACAATTTTCTAGTCTCTTTGTACAACTAGCTTATATTTGTTATGTGTATGAAAATGTCCTTGCTTGTGAGTCAAGTGTGGAATCCTAGGGAAAGTTATGATTGCAAATGAAGCATTGAAGTTCTATAGCAGTCATTGGATTTGTCTTTTACTTCTCTCCAGGACTTTCCTGACACCTGGAAATGTATTATTTTCCACAACAAAGTCTGGGAAATTTATATTTTGTCATTGAAAATAGAATACCAAGATTAGTTAAGTAATAGTCCAAGAGAAGATATTGAAAGCAGATATTACTATTAATAGATCAAAGCCACATCCAATGCAAGAGATATAGACTGAATCATAAGTATATTGTCATGATACTATGGGATATAAAATAAAAATTTCCTCCTCTTCAAAGATCCTGGTGTATTTGGATAAACTAAGCCCTAATTACTGTACTTTAAATCATTTAAAATAATCTGACAATAATATTGTACTATACAAAGATACATTTATTCAGTATTACTTAATGGGATATTTATTGAGTGTTATTGTGTGCTTTAGGCATTGGATGTACAAAATGAACAAAATAGACAAGATTCTGATCTAATGGAGTTTACATTCAATTGCACAAAAGAGATAATGAGTAAATCAAACAAATAAATGCATAACAAAATGGCAAGTAATGACATATGCTATGAAGAAAAATTGAGTAAGATAAGGAGAGAGAGCCACCATAACTACCGTTTAAGATAGAGGAGCTAGAAGGTGACATTTAAACAAAAATTTGAACAAAATTTGAGAACAAACCATAGAAATGTCTGGATGAAGAACACACAAGTGAAGGAAACATTAAGAGCAAAGTTCTTGAAATGAATTAATAATTGTCATATTTGATAAAGAGCAAGAAGTCCATTGTATTCTAAGCCTGGCACAGAAGCAGGGACTGATTTCAGAGAAATAATCAGGATTGAAATCATGTAGATTCATTCAAGCTAAGGTGAAGGGTTGGAACATTATTCCAAATGTCATTAAAAGCCTTGGGGGATTTGGGATATAAGAATGTGATGAGATGGTCATCACATTACATCAGAAATGGTCAATGTAAATTCTCTATAAAGAATAAACTGCAGCATGCTACTCATAAAATGAATGTGAAAGTGTCCTATTCACCTAATTTTGGGGGGAAGAAATTAAGAAGGATTGGCATTACTTCTTTAAATGTTCATCACCAGTGAAGGCAACTGGCCCTGGACTTTCCTTTGTTGGGAGGTTTTCAATTACTCATTTAATATTCTTGCTAGTTATGGGTACAGTCAGATTTTCTATTTCTTTATAATTTCATCTTGGAAGGTTGTGTGTTTCTAAGAAGTTATTTCATCTAGATTATCTAATTTTTTGCCATATAATTGTTCATAGTAGCCTTGTAGGATTCTTTTTCAATTCTGTGGATGAGTGGCAATGTTTTCTCTTTCACTTCCTATTTTATTTATTCGAGTTTTCTCTTTTTTACTTAATCTAGCTCATTACTTATCAATTTATTATATTTCAATTTTATATTTTGTTTCTTTGATTATTTTCTATTTTTTATTCTTCATTTTGTTTATTTCTGTCCTAATCAAACTTAAAAAAAAACCTCTGCATAGAAAAGAAACAATTATGGAATGAAAAGACAACCTACAAAATTGGAGAAAATATTTGCAAACCATATATTTGATAAGGAATTAATCTCCAAAATAAAGAAGAAACTCCTACAACTCAAATAACAAAAATAATAAATAAAGAAGTAAATAGAAACAGTCAATGAAACAAATAACCTAATTTTAAAACGGCAAAGAACTTGAAGAGACATTTTTTACAAAGATAATATACAAATAGCCAACGAGTACATAAAAAGATACTCAACATCACTAATCACTAGGAAAATGCAAACCAAAACCACAATGAGATATCACCTTACACCTGTTAAGATGACTATTTTATATATATATTATATAAATGTATAAAATACAAGCTATATATTTAATAAGCTATATATATATTATAAGAGCTATGTATATTATATCTGTGTGTGTGTGTGTGTGTGTGTGTGTGTGTGTGTGCACATGCCTGTATGAGTATACAGGATAACAACTGCTGGTGACGATGTGGTAAAATTGGAACCCTTACAAACTGTGAGTGGGAATACAAAATGATGCTACTGCTGTGCAAAACTTATGGAGACACTAAGGAGTTTCCTAGCAACACCATATGATCCAGTGGCACATATCTAAAAGGATTAAAACCAATGTCTCAATGAGGTACCTGCACTCTGGTGTTCATTATAGCACTATTCACTATAGTCAAGATCTAATTGTCCATCAACAGGTGAATAGGTACAAACAATATGGCACATTCATACAATGGAATATTAATCAGTCTTTAAAAAAAGGAAATCTTGCCATGTGTAACATGGATGAACCTGGAGAACCTTATACTACATGAAATAGCCGTTCAAAGGACAAACAGTGCATGATATTACTTATGTGAGGTGTATAAAATAGTCAAACACTCAGAAGAGGGTAGAATGGTGGTTACCAGGGACTTGGGGAAAGAAGAACTGTGGAGTTACTATTTGGTGAGTATAAAGTGTCAGTTATCCAAGATTATTAAATTCTGGAGATTTTCTGTAAAACATTGTACCTATAATTACAGTAACAGATTGTACATTTAAAAATGTGTTAAGGGGTAGATATCATGTTCTGTTCTTTCCTTGATACAAAATAAAAGTAATAAAACTTTTTTAAAATAATAAATACTAAGGGAGGGAGATTTTTTCAGAGAGACCAGATAGAGTCTGATTATAGTAGTTTAGGTGAGAGATGATGATATTATGCCTTAGAATTTGTAACCTATCATTTCAGTAATCATTTTGTGTGTTACTTGTATGCTTGTTTTCTAAATCAAAATTTTATTCCTGATATGGTGTGGCTTTGTGTCCCCACCCAAATCTCTTGTTGAATTGTAATTCCCAATGTTGGGGGAGGGACCTAGTAGGAGGTGATTGGATCATGAGGGCAAATTTCCCCCCTGCTCTTCTGAAGATAGTGAGTGGGTTCTCACGAGATCTGGTTGTTTAAAAGTGTGTAACACTTCCCCCTTCCCTGTATCTCTCCTGCTGTACTGTGTTAAGACATGATTGCTTCCCCTTCACTTTCCACCATGATCATAAGTTTCCTGAGGCCTCCCAGCCATGCCTCCTGTACAGCCTGTGGAACTGTGAGTCAATTAAACCTCTTTTCTTCAGAATTACCCAGTCTCAGGTAGTTCTTTATAGTGGTATGAGAACAGACTAATACAATTCCTTTCTATAATTCTCAAATAAGCATATGGCCTTATGACTTAGAAGAAAGAAGACCAATTGATACATTGGGTCTGAAAAACATATATAACTTAAATGCTATTTGACACTGGCTAAAAGTCTCTGATGTTTTCTTTTATTACTTGCCAAAACATTCCCCAATCACTCTTTTGCATTTGCTTCATACAATTCAGCATCATCTTCTGTCATCTCTGACCAGCTGCTCTGATTGTGAAACTTCAAATAGTTTCTCTAATCACCAGCCTCCCATGACTGTGTTTTAAGTTCTGAAAACAACCTGGGATAAATTTAGAAATCAAGAACAAAGCACATATGAGACTCTAGATTTAACAGCTTGTGCCTTTTAATGGCATCTGTTATCATGTCTTTGAAAAGCTATTTATCACCCCAACTCCCTACTGTACTATTTGAAATGGGTGGCTTTTTTATCTTCCTCACCCAAACATTTTATGTAAGCAAGATCACTAGGATGAGAATAGGAATATCCATTTTAAAAAGAACTGATTTCTGTGTGCTTTGGAAAAACTTAATGTGAATCTTGTATCACATATACAAATAAAATTAAATATAAAAATTTCCACAATATTTCAAAGTACCTATAGCCAGTATTATCAGCTTGACATCTAATTGGATATTCCCTCAGTTTCACACAGACATGGAAAACGTGATATAATCAAACAGAGTGGAAGGTAAGAATATAATGGTTGATATTAATGTTTCATTTTATGCCATTGAGCAAGTCCATCATCCTCATGGGCTACGATTACCTCACTTGAGAAATTAAAAGTTTTATTCAAATATACTTAAGTTCACTTTGGGGTCTGAGATGTTAGTATTTTTTAGAAATAAAAATCTTCCATGTTTAGTTCTCAAACAAAATTGTAATGTGAATCACTAAGAAATAGGACAGGTTTGATCTTTCACTCTACTTGTTCTATGCATTCTATTACCAACATAGACTTTTAGTTGAGTGCATATTAAATTAGTGATGCACAATACAAAGTAATTTAGCTTATAGTAAATTTTAATAGTTGTACAATTGAATTTTTTATTCTAGTTTTAGAAAAATAGAAGTGTTTGTACACATTTCAAGAACATCAGTAAGTCTGGTAAGATTTTCTTTAAGATATCTGTTAGGTTTGGGGTGTTTTTATTATCTTCCACTTGCATTAATTCATAATACAAGTTTTTCTCTCTCTTCCTTTCAGCATCTCACCAGTTTCTTTCTATAAGTAGTGTTAAAGTTTGTTCGGCAGCAGCAGATTATAAAACAAACTAATCTCATGAGCAGGAGAAAATCACTGGGCTCAAAATCTTGCCTGTCTGGAGACAGTCAGACTTTCCATCAGGGACCTGCCATCTCTAGCTCCACAAATCTACTCCTACAGGCTCTTTGTCTGAAATGAACAAGGTAACTCCATGAAACATAACATGCTTAGATGTTCTGTTACTTACTATTTCCCTTTATTATTCAGTTTGCAGAAACTCTGTAGACTATATCTCTTGAAGCCATGAATAAACCCCATCGCTATTCATGGAAAAATAATACATGACATTTTTATTTTACAGACAATTTCCCATCTACAGAAATTTAATACTTAAATTCATGATAAATGTGTAGAGTCAGATAGAGTGTAACGATGCCAGTATGTGTCAATTTGCTACTTTAATGTGTTCCGTCATTTTCATCTCTCCTGTTTTCTGAGTGATAGTAATTGATGCTGCAAAAGGACAAACCAATGTATTGTGTTCCTCTCTTCAGGAAGCAAAAGTAGCATCTTCCTGCATTGAAATGAAAGCCAAAAAGGGCATGAGCCAAAGGAGAGAACTAATTTAGTTATATAATTTTAGAAATAAGATGTGAGCTCAGTTTGTTCAAGGTAGGGCCAAGGCATCTGTTAGTCATAGTCATACACATGTGCAGGTCAAGATTCACTTTCTAAAGCCTCACTATACCCCAGTAAAAAATAGAAGATCAATATAAACAGCCATAAATTTTAGATAGTTTTATCAGTTTCCAAAGATAAGCATCAATCAGAAGAGTAACATCAGCAAAATGGCTGACCAACAGACCCTTGACCTTGTCCCCCTCACAAAGTCAACCAGAGCAATGACTAAACAAATACATATTAATGAAAATAACTGAGAGAGAGGGCCGGAGTGCATAAGAGGAGTAACAGAAACCCTGTTGAGCACAGAAATCCAGGATAGCCACATAAAGAATAGAAAAAAATCCCAGGCTTCCACCATCCCATCCCCCAATTGAGATTAGCTGGGAGCCAGGAGGAAATTTTCCCCACAGCATGGAGGTAAGAAAGAAGATCGCAACAACTCTTTTCAACACCTTAGACATTGATAAGGTTTGGCTCTGTGTCTCCACCCAAATCTCATCTTGTAACTCCCATCATTCCCACATATTGTGGAAGGGACCCAGTGAGAAATGACTAAATTATGAGGATGTGTCTTTCCCATGCTGTTCTCATGATAGTGAATGGGTCTCACAAGATCTGATGGTTTAAAAAATGGGTGTTGTGCTGCACAAGATCTCTTTGCCTGCTGCCATCCATGTAAGATGTGACTTGCTCCTCCTTGCCTTCTGCCATGGTTGTGAGGCCTCCCCAGCCATGTGGAACTGTAAGCCCAATAAACCTTTTTCTTTTGTAAATTGCCCAGTCTTGGGTATGTCTTTATCAGCAGCATGAAAACAGACAAATACAGTAAACTGGTACCAGTAGAGTGGGGTGCTGCTGAAAAGATACCTGAAAATATGGCAGTGACTTTGGTACTGGGTAACAAGCAGAGATTGGAACAGTTTAGAGGGCTCAGAAGAAGACGGGAAAATGTGGGAAAGTTTAGAACTCCCTAGAGACTTGTTGAATCACTTTGACCAAAATGCTAATAATGATATGGACAATGAAATCCAGGCTGAGGTGGCCTCAGATGGAGATGAGGAAATTGTTGGAAACTGGAGCAGAGGTGACTATTATGTTTTAGCAAAGACACTGGCAGCATTTTGCCCCTGCTCTAGAGATTTGTGGAACTTTGAACTTGAGAGAGATTGTTAGGATATCTGGCAGAAGAAATTTCTAAGCAGCAAAGTATTCAAGAGGTGACTGGGTGCTGTTAAAGGTGTTCAGGTTTTTAAGGGAAGCAGAGCATAAAAGTTCAGAAAATTTGCAGCCTGACAATGTGATAGAAAAGAAAATCTCGTATTCTGAGGAGAAATTCAAGCCAGCAGCAGAAATTTTCATAAGTAATGAGGAGCTGAATGTTAATCTCCAAGAAAATGGAAAAAAATGTCTCGAGGGTATGTTGGAGATCTTCACATCAGGCCCTCCCTTCACAAGCCTAGAGGCCTAGGAGGCCTAGGAGGAAAAGTGGTTTTGTGGCTGGGCCCAGAGTCCCCATGCTATGTCCAGCCTAGGGACTTGGTGTTCTGTGCCCCAGCTAAAATGGGCCAATGTAGTGCTCGCGCCATGGCTTCAGAGGGTGCGAGCCCCAAACTTTGGCAGCTTTCATGTGGTGTTGAGCCTGCAGGTGCACAAAAGTCCAAAATTGGGTTTGGGAACCTCCATCTAGATTTCAGAGAATGTATGGAAATGCCTGGATGTCCAGGCAGAAGTTTACTGCAGGGGTGGGGCTCTCATGAAGAACATCTATTAGAACAGTGCAGAAGGGAAATGTGGGGTTGGAGCTCCCACACAGAGTCCCTGCTGGGGCACCACCTAGTGGAGCTGTGAGAAGAAGGCCACCATCCTCCAGATCCCAGAGTGGTAGATTCACTGACAGCTTGAACTGTGCACCTAGAAAAGCTGCAGACATGTAATGCCAGCCCATGAAAGCAGCCAGGAATTCAGCTGTACCCTGCAAAGCCACAGGAGCAGAGCTGTCCAAGACCACAAGAACTCACTACTTCCATTGACATGAACTGGATATGAGACATGGAGTGAAAAGAGATAATTTTGGAGTTTTAAGGTTTGACTGCCCCATTGGATTTTGTACTTGCATGGGGCCTGTAGCCCCTTTCTTTTGGCCAGTTGCTCCCATTTGGAATGGCTGTATTTACCCAAAGCCTGTACCCTCATTGTATCTAGGAAGTAACTAAATTGCTTTAGTTTACAGGCTCATAGGCAGGGGGGACTTGCCTTGTCTCAGATGAGACTTTGGACTGTAGACTTTTGAGTTAATGCTGAAGTGAGTTCAGACTTTGGAGGACTGTTGGGAAGACATGATTGGTTTTGAAATGTGAAGATATGAGATTTGGGAGGGGCCGGGGTGGAATGATATGTTTTGGCTCTGTGTCCCCACCCTAATCTCATCTTGTAGCTCCCATAATTCCCACCCATTTTGGGAGGGACTCAGTGGGAGATGATTGAATTATGGGGGCGGGTCTTCCCAGTGCTGTTCTCATGATAGTGAATGGGTCTCACAAGATCTGATGGTTTTAAAAATGGGAGTTGCCCTGCACAAGCTCTTTGCCTGCTGCCATCCATGTAAGATGTGACCTGCTCCTCCTTGCCTTCTGCCATGATTGTGAGGCCTCCCCAGCCATGTGGATTTGTAAGTTCAATAAACCTCTTTCATTTATAAATTGCCTAGTTTCAGATATGTCTTTATTAGCATATTGGTCCATGAAAAAGAACCAATACAGACATGTACAGATCTCACCTCACCACTGGGGTCCCATATAGTTCTTACAGTCACTAAGCCCAGCTAAGGGAGCTACCCAGAATTAAGGTAGCTGTGCTCTTCCAGAGAAGGAGCTTACACTGTTCCCCACCCCAGTGGCCACATGACTGCTGTCCTATATCATCTTGGAATTAGAACTACCAGAGTGTGTCTTACACTGGGGGCAAGCAGTCATTGCTGCCCTTCATTAATGAGACTAAGTTGCCAGTGGGCCACACCGGTCTGGTGGGCTAACATCCCAAAGCCAAGCTGCAAGCAGATGTTATATCCTTCCTTGTGGAACCAAATTGAAGTAGAACCACTCCAACCACTTATCCCCTTGTTCCCTGTGCCTACAGCTGAAGTGGTACCATCTCTCCTAAGAAATATTACCTTAGCTGTCAGAGCAGTTATGTCTCCAAGGTGCCTGTGTTGAAGCAGGGCCCTATATGCCGGAAAATGTTCCTTTGGCTGCCAAGAGCAATCACATGCCCCAGAACCTAAGGAGAAGAGCCACCTGGATCTCAGGAAAATGGTATTTGCACTGTGCATAAATATGTCTATCCAGCTCACAGACATGAGCTTAAGCTCATTGCCCTCTGAAGAAGTGGAACTCTGGCTGAGCTGAGAAGCTAAACATCCCAGAGCTAAGCTGATGTAGTACCCCATGTCCCATAAAAATAGAGCAGTGGCTCAGCTGCCACATTTCATCATACAGGCGAAACATCTCTAGTACCCTGCTTGCCTGGAGCTGGACTAGCCCCCTTAAGCATGAGCTGCTAAGATACCTCCCTCCCTGTGGAATGGAGCCATCACTGAGCTATTCTCTACCTTGCTGCAGGGTCCAAATGATGGCTGTACTCTGCCATTCTGTGTTTCTTGCTGCTGCTGCAACTGGCCTCACAGACTCTGGGATACCATTGAATTCTACCATCCCAGAGTATACAGTCAATACTACACAGTGCTTCATTCCCTGAGATCCAACTTGCTACTGTACCCTATTAAAATGGGTTTTCTGAGCCCTGTTTAGTCAGATTTAACCCCTTGGGTAGAATCACAGCTAGAACCTGACACCCTGAGTCGAAACTGCTAATTGGTGCCTCAGAGTCACAGATTCTGGCTCTGTGGTCAATCTACACCCTACCAAGCCACAGAGAGTGAATCATCAGCCAAAGACCAAGGTGCCACAATAGGTTTGCAAGCCCCTTAGCCTATGACTGTGGCCCCACAGCCACTCCAAGCACCTGTGCCTGGAACCCAGTGCTACTGCAGCTGCTTACAGGCTATGTCAGACTTGAGAAGGATACTCTCAATTTGAAAAGTGGAAATAGAAGGACACAAAAAACCCTTGACACTGAGGACATTAACAACTTATACCGCCACTGATGCTCCCACAAACTTCCACAGCATAGGCCACTGAGGCACCTGAAGTCATTGGTGAGATTGAATGCAGCTGCAAAAGCTGCACAGAGACCACACTACTGCACCTATCCAGAAATGCTTATCATACCCTTCACAAGCAGCATACTAAAACCCAAATGCAAATGAAAGTCTTTCTCTACAAAGAACACTCAAGAAAGTTTTGAAGCCATAATTGCTCTACCAGATGCACAGACATTGACAAAGAAACATGAGAAAAATAAAAAATAAAGGAAATGTGGTGCCATCAAAGGAATAAAATAACTCCTTAGTAACAGATCCCAATGAAAATAGAATCAATGAACTTTCAGAAAATAAATTAAAATAATTGTCTTAATGCAACTTTGTGAGGTTCAATAACAATACAGATGGACAAGTCAATGAAATTCAGGAAAGAAAAACTATGATATGAACACAAATTCAAAAAAACTATAAATTATTTAAAAAATAAATGGAAATCTTGCAGCTGAAGAATTCAATGAATGAAATAGAAAAATACAGTAGGCAGCTACAATAGCAGACTTGACCAAGCAGAAGAAAGGCTCTCCGAATTTGATGATCAGTAATTTGAAATTACTCAAAGAAAAAAATGTAAGAATAAAAAAGAGTGAGGAAAACCTACAGGTCTTACAGGAAACCGTTAAAAGAACAAATGTTCATTTGATGAGAGCTAGACAAAGAGAAGGAATGAACGAGGCATTGCAAATCTGCTTAGTAAAATAATAGCTGAAAATGTCCCAAGTCTAGAGTGAGATATGAGCATCCAGGTACAGAAAGTTTATAAGACCCCATAAAGGTCCTCTCTAAAACATGTTATAGTCAAATGTCAAAAGTAAAAGCCAAAAAAAATTATAAAAATAGCAAGAGTATCAAGGCACATAAAAGGGAATCTCTATTAGACTAACAGCAGGTTTTCTGCAGAAACGTTGCAAAGGAAGAGAATGGAATGATATATTCAAAGCACTGGGGAAAAAAAACTTGCCAGCCAAGAGTCCTAGCAAAGCTATTCTTCAGAAATGAGAGAGAAATAAAGTTTTTCCTATACAAGCAAAACCTGAGGGAATTCATCATTACAATGCTGATCTTACAAAATAATGCTCAAGGGACTCCTGTATCTAGAAGTGAAAGATGATAATCATTATCATGAAAACACACAAAATTATGAAATTCACTAATATAGCAAATTCAAAAAGAAGAAAGAGAAAAGAATTCTAAATTATCACTATAGAAAACCACCAAATTGCAGTGATAAACAGTAAGAGGAAGAAAGAAACACAAAATATAAAAAAATGACCAGAGTACAATGAACAAAATTACAGGACTAAGTCCTTACCTATCAATAATAACCTTGAATTAAATGTATTAAATTCAGCACTTATAATACATAGACTTGAAGAATGGAAAAAAAACACTCAATTATATGCTGCCTACAAGAAACTCACTTTTCCTGTGAAGTTATATAGACTGAATATGAAGAAATAGAAAATGTACTCCATGCAAATGGAAACCAAAAGCCAACAAGTGAGGCTACATTTATATCCGATAAAACAATCTTTAAGTCAAAATCTGTAAAGAGAGACAAATAAGGTCCTTATATAATGATAAAGGTATTAATTCAGTAAGAGTATATAACATGTCTAAATATATATGCATCCAATAACAGAGCACACAGATATATAAAGCAAATATTACCTCTAAAGGGAGAGATAGACTCCAATATAGTAATAGTTTGGGATGTCAACATTTCACTTTCAGCACTGGACATATCATTCAGACAGATGATCAACAAAAAAACATTAGATTTAAACTACACTTTAGACTAAATGGACCTAATAGACATTACAGGACATTTCACCCAACAACTGCAAAATATATAAGCTTCTCATCAGCATATTCACCAGGACAGACCACATGTTAAGCCACAAAACAAGTCTCAACAAATTTAAAAGAATTAAAATAGTATGAAGTATTTTTTCTGACCACAATGGAATAAAACTAGATATTAATAGTAAGAGGAACTTTTGAAATTGCACAAATATGTGCACATTAAAAAACATGCTACTAAACGATGAATAAATCAATAAAAAATTAAGAAGAAATCAAACAATTTCTTAAAACATGGAATAGAAATGCAACATGCCAAAACTAGGGATACAACAAAGGGAGAATTAAGGGGAAAGTTAATAGCAATCAATGTCAACATCAAAAATGTATAAAGATTTCAAATAGACAACGATGCATCTCAAGGAATTAGAAAAGTAAGAACAAATTAAATTTTTAAAAAAAGGTAGAAGGTAGGCAAAATAAATTTTTTGAAAAGAGAAACAAAATCAATGAACACTTAGCTACATTAACCAGAAAACAAAAGAAGACCAAAATAAATAAAATCAGAAATAGAAAAGCAGACATTATGTATAATACCACAGAAATACAAATAGTCATTAGAGACTATCATGACTATTACAACTATACACCTACAAATTAGAAAATCCAGTTGAAATGGATAAATGTTTCGACACGTACAACCTAACAAGATTGAACCAAGAAGAAGTAGAAAACTGGACTAAACCAATTACAAGTAATGAGATTGAGTTTTTAACAAAAATCCTTCCATCAAAGAAAAGCCTAGGACCTAGTTGCTTCAGCGCTAAACTTAACCAAACATTTAAAGAATTAATACCAATTCCTCTCAAAATTTTCCAGTAAATTTAAAAGTAGAAAATTCTTATGAATTAATTCTACAAGACCAGTATTACCCTGATAACAAAACCAGAAAATGATACAACAAAAAGATGAAAATTATACTTCAATGTCTCTGATGAACATGGATGCAAATATTTTCAAGAAAACCCTAGCAAAATGAATCTAATAGCACATTTACAAGGTCATTTATCATGGACAGATGGAATTTATCCCAGGGATGCAAGGATGATTCAACATGAAAATCAATAAATAAAACACATCACATCAACAGAATGAAGGAAAAGTATGATCATCTCAGTAGATGCAGAAAAAGCATTTGATAAAATTCAAATTCAATACTCTTTCATAAAAACTGTCAAAAAGTTAGATATAGAAGGAATGAACCTCAACATGAAGCCCACATATAACAAACTCACAACCAACATCATACTAAATGGAAAAATCTTGAAAGCTTCTTGTCTAAGATATGGAATAAGACAAGGGTGCCCACTTTTAATCAACATAGTACTGAAAATCCTAGCTAGCACAATTAGATGAGAGAAATAAGCAATGGCTATCCAAATTGGAAAGTAAAATTCTCCCTCTTTGCAGACAACATAAACTTATATTTAGAAAAACTGAAAGACTCCTCCAAAAACTCTTAGAACTGATAACTGAAGTTTTTAAAGTTGCTGGATACATAATGAACACACAGAAATTAGTAGTGCTTCCTTACACCAACAATAATCTATCAAAAAAGAAATCAAGAAAGCAATCTCACTTATAATAATTTCAACAATAAAATAACATGCCCAGGAATAAATTCAACTAAAGAGGTACAAGAGCTCTGCTATGAAAACTAAAAAATACAGATGAAAGAAATTTAAAAGGATACAAACAAATTAAAAGAATCCTATGTTCATGGATGGGAAGAGCTAATATTATGAAAATGACCATATTACCAGAAGTAATCTATAGGTTCAATTGAATCCCCAGGAAAATACCAATGACATTCTTCAAAGAAATTATGAAATTTGTATGGAGCCATAAAAGACTCTGACTAGGCAAACAACCCTGAGCAAAAAGAATAAAGCTAGAGTCATCACACTACCGGACTTCAAAATACACTACAAAGTTATAGTAATCAAAACAGCAACTTGGTGGCATAAATCAGACACATACACCAAAGAAAGAGAATAGCAAATAAATAAATAAATCTACATACATACAGCTAATTGATACTTGACAAAAATCCAAGAACATTCATTGGGGAAGGGACATTCTCTTCAAGAAAGTGTGCTGGAAAAACTGGATATACATATATTAAAAAAACAGATTCCTATCTTTCATCATATATAAAATTCAACGTACAAGGAACTCAAACAACCTAACAGTAAACAAATACACAATCCAATTAAAAATGGGCAAATAAGCTGAAAAGATATCTCTCTAAAGATGACATACAAATGACCAACAGGTATATGAAAAAATGTTCAACATCATTAATCATCATGGAATTGCAAATCAAAATCACAATGTGATATTATCTTATGCTATGGTTATTATCAAGAAATAATAAATGCTGGTGAGGAGGCAGAGAAAGGGGAACTTTTATACACTGTTGGTAAGAATATGAATGAGTCCAGCCATTACACAAAACAGTGTCCACACTTTTCAAAAAAGTGTCCACACTTCAAAAGGCTAAACATAGAGTTACCATGTGTTCCAGGAATCCCACTACTGGATTCATATAAAAAAATCTGCATGTCAAAGAGATATCTGCACTCTCATGTTTACTGTAGCATTGTTGACAATAGCCAAGATATAGAATCAACCTGAGTCTCCATTAATAGATTTATCTTTTAAATGTGGTATATATACACAATTGAATACTATTTGGCCAAAACAAAAGAACGAAATTCTGTCATTTGTGGCCACATGGATGAGCTTGGAAGACATTATATGCTAAGTGAAATAAGCAAGGTGCAGAAAGGTAAATACCTCATGTTCCCATTCAAATGTGGAAGCTAAAAAAATTAATATCATAGAGGTAGATTGTAGAATAATAGTTACTAAAAGTGAGGATAGGTGGCGGGGAGAGGGGATAGTCAAAGTTGGTTAACATATACAAAAGTACAGCTAGATAGGAGAAATGCATTCTAATGTTCTGTTGTATTATATGGTGATTATAAATAATGACAATGTATTGTGTATTTTAAAATAGCAAGAAGAGAGGATTTTGTTGAATGTTTGCAACATGATGAAACAATAAATATTTGAAGTAACGGATATTCTAATTACTCTGATTTGCTCATTGCATGTTGTATACATGTATTGAAATACGCTGTACCCCTTAAGTATGTGCATCAATTATGTGTCAATTAAAATTATTTAAAAAGCAAAATAAATATGTATAAACATCTTAAAAAGAAGTATCAGTAAATTACCTGAATTGTGCCCTCAATTTTTCATCTTTATTTTTTTGGTTAAGTATTAAATTGTGTGCCTTTTTAACTAAATATTTTGTTTAATTTCATTTAATCAAAAACTTTCTTCTAAATCTTCACTAAACTCGGACACCATCATGTCCTAAGAGAAAAGTATAAAAGTTTTGTTATTAAATTAGCTCATAAATACAGAAATATATATGCAATATCATAAAGGGGGTATCACTTACCAGTTTTTTTAAAATTTGTAATTGCTAGGTTTAAGATGATTGTGTAAACTTCAGCTTTCAGCTGTCAGTTTTATATCACCTGCCTTTCCTGTACACATTATTTTCATCTGTTACAGCAATGTGTTAATTATTTTGTACTGTAGCTTGTTACAGTTTAATAATCTTAAGTTGATGAAACAAAACAAGGAGAAATCAGAAATTAGAATTCATATTACTTCCAGGTTTTAAGAAAAATGTACATAGACGTTTGTAAAACCAAGTATGTGTGCCTAGATACCTTATTTGAAATGATGAAAATTGACACACATATTACAGAATCTCCTAAAATTAGTTCATTAGGTCCTATGGATCTTTGGATAAATTGGAGAGGATCAGAAAAAATAACTAATGGGTACTAGGCTTAATACCTGGGTGATGAAACAATAAGTACAACAAACCCCCACGACACAAATTTACCTATGGAACAAACCTCCACGTGTAACCTTGAACTTAAAATAAAAGTTTAAAATGGGATAATTTGAAACATCAAGAAAATGTATGCATCATGTTAGTGTTACTTGCTATACCTATACTGTTCAGTTGTATGATTTTTTGTTGTTGTTGTTTTTGTTTTGTTTTGTTTGTTTTGTTTTTGAGTTGGAGTCTCACTCTGTCGCCCAGGCTGGAGTGCAGAGATGAAATCTCGGCTCACTCTGCCTCGGGGGTTCAAGCAATTCTCCTGTCTTAGCCTCCCCAGTAGCTGGGATTACAGGCATACACCACCACACCCGGCTAATTTGTTGTATTTTTAGTAGAGATGGGTTTCACAATGTTGGCCAGGCTGGTCTTGAACTCCTGACCTCAGGTGATTTGCCAGCCTCGGCCTCCCAAAGTGCTGGGATTACAGGCATGAGCCACCGTGCCTGGCCTGTGTTTGTTCTTAATTTGCTGTTTGGAAAGGTTTGATGTACATTTAAGTTCTATTGACACTTGCTATAAATCTTACAATATTTACTTTAAAATATTTAAATGAAATTATATCTCAAGTATCTCAGACAAATATTTTATGCCTTAAGTTGTAGGTGGGCTATTGGTATGTCCATATGACTTTTTTCAAATTTCTCCGTAAGTTATTTTTGTCTTCCAGCTGCTGTGCTCCTCAGAATTTTTTAAAACATTCATCTTGTTTCAAAGGTAAAATAAGTCTGAAACAAATATTCTTAATTATTTACTCTGATATTTATTTACTTTTTCTAATTATATGACTAGAGGTCCTTCTTGGATCCAAATATTTGTCTAGAGTCTATTCTATCAGTATTAATGATAAACGCAATCCATTTAGCTTAGCCAATATTAATCTCAAATCAATGAGAATTGTACTATCATTCAAATCCAATGTTTACTACTAAATTGTTAGTTCTAATTCATAAAATGTTTTAGATTTATCTAAGCTAAAAATAATCTAAATAATCTGAAAATGAAATTTGTGCATAAAATGAGATGTTAATTCAGGGATTTGTTTTTGAGATGTTCATTATGCTGGAGAGGCCACAGACATGCAGTTCTATTATATAACCCTTAGTACAGCTGCTTAGCTACCCACATTATTCTCCTTGGGTTCAGCTCTCTGGAGTTTGCCATAATTTATATCCTCACCAACAGTTTTCCCTATAGGGGCTGCTATATAGAGACCTCATTTCTTAATTACAGTGCAAAACTGCAAGCATTAAATTTAGCCACAATCACAAAAATACCTATATATGTATCTGTATGTGACTATAACTTTAAAACTGAACAGCAGTATACATGTCCTTCCATATGTAAATTTTTTTTGGATAAGTAAAAGCATATTTGATATCCAGATTATTTTTGACTAAGTAAAACAGAAAATGTGTGAATATCAGACTGGATGCAAACTAGGTTCCAAATTTAGAAACACAAACTCAATTCTAATAACGATTATTTATTATATCATTTTATTTAGACTCAAAACGAAATACTAGACATTTAAAAGGCTTTTGATAAGAATATCTTTTTAACTTTAAATCTTCTATCGAACATTAATGAATCATCAAACATATTTTATATATCTCTAGTTATAACTAGAATTTTTAGAAACACAATATTCAAAAAAATTATTAGGCAGCCATCACAACCCATATCTTAGAGATTTAGGCTGAATCTCATTAGATAAATTAAGTTCCCAATTGCCATAAAGTAGAGATAAATTAGAACTCAAGAATCATTTTATTTTCAACATAATTTAATCTCAAAAGAGTACTGTTAATGAGAAAAACATAATGATTCTTAAGATTCTAATTAACTTACCATGTGAGATGGAGGGGAATAAACTGAAGTACTGAAATGAAGCAAAATAAAAAACATCCAAAAATTTAGAATTAATATTGTGAAAATTGTCATGGTGTAAGCAATTACAAATAATTTTATCAGAAAAAATAGTGGAAAACACTAAGTTATTAGTGAATGTGACTACGGAACATATTTTCAATAATCAGAAATATAATCCAGATTGCTTTTAAAATTCATATTTAACAAATATATATGATAAAACTTGTTTAAAAGTCAACTATTTCTGAAATGCATATATTTTCCAAAGTGTTTCTTGTCTCTTTATGACCTCAAAGGCAAACACATTTAATATTTAACTATTTCATTTGGTGATTTTCTCCATAGATCCAAATAATATGAATATACTATTATATATTACATAATCAATTTAAACTTCTTACTATAAGATAGTATTATTCTTTGGCTAATTTATACCTTTCAGTTTCCACTCAATATAATTATGCCTAAATTTTTACTTAAAATCATTTAGTATTTCCGTGATGATTTTTCAAATATTCCTCACTGCTGAGCCAAGAAGTCTACTCTGATTACATTTCCTTCCTTTAAAACTTAAAGTTTCTTAAACCTTGAAAAGAGTTAAAAATTCCTATCCCTCCCCATTTGATTTGATTTTCTTTGAACTTACAAATAAATCACCACACAAACTCCAGAAATTCTGTAAAATGCCTCATTTTAAAATTTCCCATATTGCCAAAGCTTTCATCTCATTTTTAAGCATGCTTCATGTTTCCACTCTCAAGACTACTTGTGACATCTGACTTTCTACTAAAATAGCATCTTTGTGCACTTCAGACCTGCGATACAACCATCACACAGATACTCCATTTTGCTGTGATCTTGCTTTTTCTCTTCCTTCCCTCCTTCCTTCTTTCTTTTCTTTTCCTTTCTTTTTTCTTTTCTTTTCTTTCTTTTTTTGTTTCTTTCTTTCTCTCTGCCCCTCCTTTCTTTCTTTCTTTCTTTCTCTTTCTTTTTCTTCCTTTCTTTCTTTCTTTCTTTTTCTTCTTTCATCTCTTTCTTTCTGTCTCTTTCTTTTGAATCTCTACTGTGTTGTGTGTTCTGTTCCCTGGATGACAGTTCTGCTTCTGTCTTGACTTCTCTTGTTTTGATAGAAACCATTTTCAAAGGGCTTCTGTAAAAAAAGTACATGACAGTCAAATTTTCTATACTTTCTATACTTTGAAACTAAAAATACTTTATTCTACTCTGATATTTATTAGTTTGAATGAATAAATAATTTTAGATTGCAAATACATTTTTCTTCTAAATTTTGAAAATATTTTCTAATATTCTTGTTTCTATTGCATTTAAGAAACTGATATTATTCTGATCTACCATCCTTTGTATTTAGAAAACTTATTTGTTATTTGAAAAACTTTAGTGTTTTAATTGTCTCCTAATCACCCTGTTAATGAGGGAGGACTGTCACTCTGAGTTATGGGAGATGTTTAAAACATAATATCCTACACTGGAGAGATAAGATCAACAGCGTTTTATTAGTTACATGTACCTACAGTTCAGGGAGGTGGACACTGTAGTGGTTTGCACTCAGGAACAGGGTGAACGGTTAGAAGCTGTGGGAGGCAGGATTTGTAGTATCACGAAGCTGACCTTATCTGTAGGAGCAAAGTGGTGGTTGGGGAACATTTGCAGTGAGACCATTAGAGGCACTCCCAATTTACCAGGTGTCAAGGCAGAGAATAATATTAGTTTTAGGACTTATTTTAGTAACATCTCTTTACTTTCTATGCTGTAAAATTCCATGATAATATATTTTCATAAGTTTATTTCTCATTTCCTGAACCAAGCATGTAGCTCTTTGAATCCTGGAAATTCATACCTACACTTCTGAGACTTTTTTTTTAATTATCATTTTAAGAATTTCCTTTCCTCTATTTTCACTTTTCTTTTTTTTTTTTTTTTGCTGAAGTTCTGTTTTATCCAGGTTTTGACTTCTTCAATTACTTTTTCTTTTTTATTTTCTCCTATTGAGCATCATCTTGTCTTCCATTTCTTTTTCTTGAAAGGTAAGATTTGACATTTCTACAAATGATTTTACTATTTCCATAAATATTATTTTTGAATTTTTGACTTTTTTCTCTGAATCATTTTTAAGCACTGTTTAATAGTTGTCATATCCTCTCCATTTTCTCTGAAGATATTACTAGTATATTTCTTCTCCTATTATTGTCTCCATTTTTTTCTATTTGTTTGCTTTATTTATGTCATTCATTTTTAAATGTTGGCAGCCCATTTAAACTTACAAACAAGGCCCTAAAAATTGAAAGTTCTATGTGGATTGAATTTACTGGAAGGCAGTCAAGTCTCCTATTTGGGTGGTAAATATAAATCTGTCTGCTGTTGTTTAGGATCTACATAGGCAAAAGGGCTGGGTAGTCTCATTTTTGTATAATGCAAACTGGGAATTATTGAACTGTATACTCAGAATAGCACCTTCTCCTTAACTTCCACTTTTCCTAAGGTCCCTAATACACAAAATACACTTCCCTGCTGTATACCTACATTGGGTAGAAGATCTGAGGGACTAATATAGACTCCCCCTCCCTTTTTTTTTTTTTTTAACTAACTTTTCATCAAGCCCCGTTTTTTGTGCCAATACTCACGCTGTCACAGTACCTGATGTGTCTGTTTCCATGTCTTTCCAAAGGCTCTCTGGGTCTGTCACTACACCCCTACTTCTTCAGCTGCATCCCAACTTAAAGGCAATTAGTTATGACATCTTTTTCTTTGCTAAGTTATTTCTCATTTATTCTTCTGACTTATGTATTCTAATACCGTGGGTCACTTTTGCAAATTTATCCTACTTTCATTGCAGATGAATTTTGTGGTTGTATTCCGTGACATCCTTGTTAATTTGTTAAGATTTTTTTTTCACAGATGAGGTGGGAAGCAGTATCTCTTTTCCATGACATTGAAACCAGAAGCTTGGACAGGAATTAAAAAATTTATTTTTCTATTTTTTATGAAGCATCTCTTGTCATTTTGGCATTCTTTCTTGTCAAATCATTGTGAGGTGGGAATTCAAAAATTACTTCAAAATAAAGATACATTGTTAAAAATTAATATAGACAACTATAATTCTTAAAGAAATATCAAAGATGGTGGAGGATTTAGGGCCTATTTTTAATTAATTTGAAATATATTTGAGGATAAAAATAACACTAATATAATCCTTTGGTTATATACCAAAGGATTATACCAAATATATACCCAAATATATATATTTGGGTATATATCAAATATAACCCAAAGAATAATATTAGTGTTATTTTTATCCTATATTAATAATTGTCTATATTAATTTTTAACAACATATCTTTACTTTATAAATCATGCTGCTATAAAGACACATGCGTACATATGTTTATTGAGGCACTATTCACAATAGCAAAGACTTGGAACCAACCCAAATGTCCAACAATGAGAGAGTGGATTAAGAAAACGTGGTACATATACACCATGGAATACTGTGCAGCCATAAAAAATGATGAGTTCATGTCCTTTGTAGGGACATGGATGAAGCTGGAAACCATCATTCTCAGCAAACTATCACAAGGACAAAAAACCAAACACTGCCTTTTCTCACTCATAGGTGGGAATTGAACAATGAGAACACTTGGACACAGGAAGGGGAACATCACACACTGGGGCCTGTTTTGCGGTGGGGGTAGTGGGGAGGGATAGCATTAGGAGATATACCTAACGTAAATGATGAGTTAATGGGTGCAGCACACCAACATGGCACATGTATACATATGTAACAAACCTGCATGTTGTGCACATGTATCCTAAAACTTAAAGTATAATAAAAATATATATATAAAAAATTAAAACAAAACAAAAAACCACTAATATCTTGAAATTACTGTATTTCTTCAGAGTCAAAGTAGGGAAATTATTTTTAAAATCCTAGATCTTTGCAAGAGATTTGAGCTACTAAGACACCAAAGAGATTTAACTATGTAGTGTACTACTAGAAGTTAACTTCATATAAGGAATCAGAGCATGTCTGACCAGATTTATGCTTTAAAATGGAATTTAAATGTATGTTGCAAAAGTTTTCATCAGTGGTGCAAAAAAGTAATAGAAATTTAAAGTTATTATATTCGTTTCTCTCTTTCCTTTTATAAACATCAGGATTCACAATTTTTTAAGAGAAATAAGATAGT